>NC_000004.12:79375926-79527441 GCF_000001405.40 Homo sapiens
AAAAAAAAATCCCTGCCTACATGAAGCTTACATTCCAGTGAGAGTAGATAGATAAACATGATCTATAAATGTAGTATGTACTTGTAAATATGTATACCTATATATGTATGTATAAATGTATGTAGGTATATATATACATATATATGTGTGTGTGTATGTGTATATATACATATATATGTATACATACATATATGTGTATATATACATATACACACACACATATATATGAGGAAGAAGCTCTGGCTATCTTGAGAAGAGCATTCTAGGTGGGAGGATGCAAAGATCTGGAGGCAGGAGAGTGCTTGGATGAAGATAACTTCCATATTGTTGTTTTGATGACTTCAATTTGACGCTCACTGAGATATGTACCCTTTCAATCAAAGTCACAATTTGGCAATTATCAGGCTTGTCCCATGAACTTAAACTAGAAATAGACCTGAAAACAAAATTATTTACTTGGAAAACATAATGTGTGGTTCTGAAAATTAGAAATTAGAACCACTAAATTCATCCGCTATTGAAAGAGTTCTGTGGCAATTTTGAGGCAATTTGATTTCAGAGGCTAAGTTGTGACTTGTGATTTTCATAATTGAGAATGACATAGAAAGTGTTTCTACGGTTTTACTAAAAAAAATAGTGTTACTTTATTTTGTGTCCATGGGATACTAATAGTTTAAAAGTAAGGAAGAGCAATTTTATGAAAGTCTGTCAGGAATTCAGAATGTTATTCTAAGGTTCACAAATAATGAGGCAAAAAGCCATAATTTTCATAATTGAGAATGACATAGAAAGTGTTTCTATGGTTTTACTAAAAAAAATAGTGTTACTTTATTTTCTGTCCATGGGATACTAATAGTTTAAAAGTAAGGAAGAGCAATTTTATGAAAGTCTGTCAGGAATTCAGAATGTTATTCTAAGTTTCACAAATAATGAGGCAAAAAGCAGTGTGCTGACTGTGATAACCTAACTCCAGAGATGCATGGTTACTGGGCACATTCGATCCCAGGGTTCTTCTATTAGCCTAAAACTCTCATCTTAGTGTTCTTTTCCACATATTTATAACTTGTGTGAAAAAAATGAACTGTTAATAAGATTAGATATTTATTCAATTTACATAATTTAGTGTGCTAATAAATTTGAGATTCATAAAGAAGCAAAAAGACTGCTGAACAGGACTCTATATGCCACTTTTTTCACCTTAAAGTTTAAGATTTTGAAAATTGTTATGCCTGTGAAATAGTTTTTAATCTAGTTCAGATCAACTTTTCACTATTCCTCTAAAAGTATAATGATTTTCTAGCAATTACAATAAAAATATTTTCATAAACATAGGAGTAATTAAGAAAAATGTCTAAGGAAGAACTACAGTAATTAACATACCAGGATTAAAGTTGACTAGCAAGAATTACTAGAGCAGTTAAAAAATATCCATATGTCTTAATAGAAAGTTGTTGCTACAGAGAAATGCTAAATGTTTAAGGTGATGGTTATAGTAATTACCCTCATTTGATCATTATACTATGTATAAATGCATTAAAATATCCCATTGTTTGCTGTAAATAAGTATAATTATTATGTGCCAATTATAAATAGAAAAATAAATTAAAAAGGAAAGACAGGAATCAGATTCACTGAAATCAGTATTCTGTTTTCTTGAATTAATCAAATATTGAATTCTTAATTCAATAGTTCTCAAGAAATTATAAATAACATCATTTACTTATGTATTTTTTTCTGCTTTAATTTATTTCTAGAGTGATCCTTTCTTTCCTCCTCCCTCCTTCTCTTTCTCTCCTCTCTTCCCTTCCTCTCTCCTTGTTTTCTTTCCTTTTATCTTTTATGTATGTTTTTATGTTTATCTGTATGACCTACCCAATTTGTTTAAATTTCAGAAGAGCAGCTATATGAGCAACATCTCATGACTGAAATACATCCCAGCATTATGTATGCAGCAATATTAGATGATGCTCCTCCTAGAGTTGTATCCCATAGGAGGTAGCCAGGCAATCAGTACCCTCAGCAAATCAGTGATGACGTGAGCAAATGATTTTACCTTTTTTCCATCCCAAGCAATAAGTTCACATATCTACTTGGTCAAATGTGGTTGCTTCTTTTCTCTTTAAATTTTTATATGTATCCTTAAAGTTAAAATAGGTCTTGATGGTTTTATGGGAAGGTATAGTGTTTGTAGAACATGACAAAATATCTTTCCAACAAGAATAACACTATACAGTATATGATGTCAATAGTTTGCAAAGTAATTTCATTTTTGACCTTCTTTATTATTTACGTGCAATTTAATTATTTGAAGTTACTTTTGTACCTTTCCATTATGTTTATTTGATGAAATTATGCTTATTGGGATATTACTAATACTTAAAATGAAAAAAAAATCAGAGATTGTTATATATTAATGGAAAAGAAGTAGATTTAACCAGCTAATTCATGTAACACATTTTTATTGTTCATTTATAAACATGGTTCCTGTCCTACTTAAACTTAGATTCATGTGTGGAGAGATAGACAATTGAGACATAAGCAAAGATACAAGTATATAGTCCAAATTGAGATGTGTGTGTGAAGAAAAACAATAGATGCAGTGGAGGAGAATGGGCTAGGGAGGACTAATTTTAAAATGTATGGTTAAAGAACATCTCTGAAGAGGTGACATTTAATCTGAGGCTTAAGTCACTGACTCAGAAGACTGAGTGAAGAATATTCCGGAGAAAGGAACAGAATGTGGAAAAGTCCAAGAGAAGGAAGAGTCCTGAATCTTGTTTGCTTCACTTCCAAGGAAGTCTCACATTTCCCCTTCTATTGCATCCATGACGTGAGATACATCTTGAGTAACTACTAGAGTTTTTTTTCTTTTTTTCTTTTTTCCAAACTAAAGGACTGTTTTGTCCTCATTACTCCTTTTTTCATGGATTATTCTATTTAAGAAAACCAATGTGGCCTCCCAGTGCCAGTGATTCTAAGTTCAGTGTGGTTTAGATAATTTCTACTGCTGATATTAGGTTGAACTATATAAAATTACTATTTTGTGGGTCAAAAACACGATTGCTTACCATTCCACTTCGTTCTCTCTGCATATTTCTATTTGCTCTGTCAACCCTGAAAGATCTCTAGTGCTAACTTTATCACTGGGATGTTTTTGGATAATAAATTGAAAGGCAAAGACTTATTTTTAATGGCATTCACTATCACACATTCTAAAACTGTTGAACTGTTGCAGAGAAAATTTGGCTGTATAGAAATATTTTTACCTAATATGGATAATCAAAACATGTAAGGGAATTGTGCATACTTTTCACTTTTAATTTTTTTGTTACATTAGGGCATCAAAATTCCAATATTCAAACAGATTTTCAAGACGGCTGACTAGAGGCACCCAGCACTTGGTTTCTCCATAAAGAAGAACCAAAACAGTGAGTAAATAATCAGTTCAAATAGATCCTCTGAAAAACAACATTGGAATTCAGCAGAGAGGTTTCAAGAAACACCTGAGGCAGGGAAGGAGAGTGAAGCAAGGCAGCCAGCCCTCTGGGATACCCTGGGAGCCCACAGAAGATCCTGGTTGTGAGGCAGAGTGAGATAAGTGACGTATCCCCAGTGGTCCACATTCCCACTGAGGATTCCTGAAATCCTAGCCATGGGAAAGCCCTCTCAGCCTTCACAAGCCCTATTACACAAGATTATTACAGGGAGCTGCTTGGAGTTCATGAGATGGCATTGCTCCAGAGAGGAAGCTCATGTTAGGTCCCACGTCCCCCAAGACCCAAGCAGCTGCAACATGACACCAATTTGAGAGCCTAGCATCCATTAGACTGTATACTGACATGGGGAATAGCCCCCATATCTTCACATCCCTGTAGCCCTAGTGACTTCCCCTAATATCCACCTGGAAGGCTGCCGTGGCACAACACAAGGTGGACCCGGCAGTGAGTACTGCCAGGTCCCCAGCGCTGTAGCCCACACAGTCCTACACTCCAGGTAACAGGTAGTAACAGCACACTGGAGAGGTTGGCCTCTGGACTAAGGGAGCCAAAGCAATGCAACACACAGCCTGAAAGCCACCTGCTGGGGACCACTGCCACTGACAGCAACCCCACCACCCATAGTAGCAGAGCTGCAGCATACATCCATATGCCCTGAGGACAGATTCTGCCTACCTACCACTGCTACTGCCACCACTTGATCATGCTCTTAGGGATTTGGGAATGGCCCTGAGTTGCCCTCCAAGCCTGTACCTGTGCCTGTGCTGCCCCTCCCGGTGTTCAAGCACACCGCCTGGGGACCTGGAGGAAGTCCAGTGGCATCTGTCACTCTGGGCATGTGGATGCACCATCAGGAGGTCTGACAAAAGACACAACTTTGCTGCTGGCACATGAGCATGCTGTCTGGTGGCCTGGGGATCACCCCACCCCCACCCCCCACAGCCTTCTCCTGTGTGCATTTTCAGAGGGACGTGAGGACAGACTTACACTGCCTGGCACTGACTCCCTTATTGCCCAGCACAGCCAAGGGCCTGGGGACTGCACCCACTCTGCTGGTCACCCTAGGTCCATGTGCATACCATCAAGGGACCTAACAACAACCTAGATCATCTGTTACTGGCATCCAAGCATGCAGTCTGAAGGGCTGGAGATTACCCCACTTTGTTCACAATAGTTAGCAACCATGCACCCCTACTGGGGGCTTGAGGACAGGCCCACAGAGCCTGCTGCCACCGTCACCATAACCGACCCACATATGTCACTTGGGAAATGGCCTGTCCAGCTCATTACCACCACCGCTAACACCAATGCATGCTGCTTGGGACCTCAAGGGTTGTTCCAACATTGCTACTGCCATTAATGATGTCATGCACACTGCCTAGGGACCCAAGGACCTGCCCCCATATGTATAATATTATATATTTAGTGAAGTAATAATAGCTGGAAACTTTTCAAGTATAGCAAGAGAGTTAGACATCAAGATACAGTAAGCTTACAGATCCTCAAAGGATACAACATAAAAGGTTCTTCTCCCTGGGAAATTATAGATAAGCTGTCAAAAGTCATAAACGAAGAGAACATTTTAAATACAGCAAGAGAAAATCAAGTACCTATTAGGGAACTCTTATCAGACTAACAGTAAATTTCTCAGCAGGAGAAATTCTTTCCTTAAAGCCAGGAAAGAATGGAATGATATATTCAATGTGCTGGGGAAAAAAGTCAGTCAAGAAAACTATATCCTAGCAAAGTTGTAATTCAAAAGTGAAAGAGAAGTAAAGTTTTTCCTAGGTAAGTGAAAACATGATATTCATCACTAAATTGGCCATACAAACAATGCATAAGGGAATCCTACACCTTGAAGTAGTATCTACCAGGATGGTATCTACCATCATGAAAATGCACAAAAGTATACAACTCCCTGGCAGAACAAACGAAAATGAGGAAGATAAAGGAGTTAAATGTTACCACTACAGAAAACCACCAAACCACAATGATAAACAGTAAGAAAGAAAGAAACAAGAGATATAAAAAGGATATACCAATAAAAAAATCTAAAAACCAGGAATAAGTCCTCATCTATCAATAGTAACCTTGTATGTAAACAGATTAAATTATCTACTTAAAAGACATAGACTGGCTGAATGAATTAAATATACATGAGCTAACTATATGCTGCCTATAAGAAACTCATCATCTGTAAAGACATACACTGAAAGTAAAAGGATGAAAAAAGACATTCCATGCAGATATAATTTGCACCCAGATATATAAAGCAAATATTATTAGATCAAAGAGGAAAGAGAGACTAAAATACAGTAATAATTGGGGCTTCAGTTTTCAGCATTAGACAGATTACCTAGACAGAAAATCAACATAGACACACTGGATTTAAACTACACTTTGGACCCAGTGGACCTAATAGGTATTTACAAAATATTTTATCCAACAGCTGCAGAATACACATTCTTCCCAATGGCATAAGCAACAATCTCCAGGACAGACCATATGTTAGGACACAAAAGAAGTCTCAAAAAATTTAAAACAATTAAATTCATATCAAGTATCTTTCCAGACTACAATGGAATGAAACTAGAAATCAATAACAAGAATTGTGGAAAGTCTAAAAATATGCAGAAATTAAATAACATGCTCCTGAGTGACTATTGGGTCAATGAAGAAATTAAGAAGGAAATAGAAAAAATTCTTGAAACAGATGAAAATGGAAGCACAACATACCAAAACTTATGGGATATAGCAAAAGCAGTGGAAAGAGGAATGTTTATACCAATAAACGCCCATTCAAACTCTTAAGTCTGGTAAATAAATTCAGTAAAGTTGCAGGATACAAGATCAACATGCAAAAATCAATAACATTTCTATGCATCAGTGACAACCTAGCTGAAAACAAGGATGCAAATTCCATTTACAGTAGCTACACACACACACAGACACAGAATCCTAGGAATAAATTCAGCCAAAGAGGGGAAAAATATTTAGAAAGAAAACTATAAAACCCTGATGAAAAACATTGAAGGGGACACAAATAAATGGAAAGACATCCCATGCTCATGGATTAGAAGAATTGATATCATTAAAGTGACAGTACTACTCAAAGCAATCTATGGATTCAATACTATTCTTACCAAAATATCATGACTTTTGGCCAGGCGAGGTGGCTCAAGCTTGTAATCCTAGCACTTTGGGAGGCCAAGACCTCAGATCATCTGAGGTCAGGAGTTCGAGACCAGCCTGGCCACCATGGGGAAACCCCATCCCTACTAAAAATACAAAAATTAGCTGGGCCTGGTAGCAGGCACCTATAATCCCAGCCACTCAGGAGGCTGAGGCATGAGAATTGCTTGAACCTGGGAGGTGGAGGTTGGAGTGAGCCAAGTTTGCGCCAGTGCACTCTAGCCTGGGTGACAGGGTGAGACTCCATCTTAAAAAACAAAAACAAAAACAAAAAACAAACAAAAAAACAATGACATTTTCACAGAAATTAAAAAAAAAATTCTAAAACTTATTTGGAACAAAAAAGAGCCTGCACAGACAGAATAATTCTAAGAAAGAAGAACAAAGCTAGAAGCATCACACTATCTGACTTCAAAATATGTCACAAGACTGTAGTAACCAACACAGCATGGTATTTACATAAAAACAAACACCACAAACCAATGGAACTGAATAGAGAACCCAGAAATAAATTCACTTATTTAAAATCATGATTTTTGACAAAGACATAAGGAACATACATTGAGGAAAACACACCATCTTCCATAAATGTTGCTGGGAAAACCAGATATTCATATGCATAAGAATGAAACTAGACCCCTCTCACTCAACATATACAAAAATCAAGTCTAGATACACTAAAGACTTAAACAAAAGATTTAAAACTATAAAATTGCTTGAGGAAAAAGAACAGGGTGAACACTTCAGGGCATTGGTCTAGGAAAGATTTTATGGCTAAGACATCAAAAGCATAGGTAACAAAAACAAAAATAGAAAAATGGGACTATATTAAACTAAAAATTTTCTGTATAGCAAAGGAAACAATAAACAGAATGTATGGACAACATTCTATATATTTATCCTATGTTGAATAGGAAAAAATATTTGAATAGGATAAATCTACACATTTATCGTATGTTGAATAGGAAAAAATATTTGCCAACTATTCATCTGACAAGGGACTAATATCCAGAATATATGAAGAACTCCACTCAACAGCAAAAAATCAAATAACCCCATTTAAAAGCAGGCAAGGGATCTGAACAGACATTTCTCAGAAGAAGATATACATGTAGCCTACAAATACACAAAGAAATGCTCAACATCACTAATCATCAGGGAAATGCATATCATAACCACAATGAGATATATATCATCTTACCTGAGGTATATAATAGTTACTATCAAAAAGACAACAACTAACAGATGCAGGTGAGAATGCAAAAAAAGAAGTCTTCTAAACTGTTGGTAGGAGTGTAAATTAGTACAGCCATTATGGATCACAGTAAGATCTATATGATTTTTTCAGAAGACTAAAAATAGAACTATCATACAACCTAGCATTTTCACTACTGGATATGCATCCAAAGAGATAAAGATCAGCATGTCAAAGGGATACCTATATCCTCATGTTTATTGCAACACTATTCACATTAACTAAGATATGAAATCAACCTAAGCATCTATCAATGGATAAATAAATAGATAAGGATAATACACACACACACACAATTGAATACTATTTGGCCATAAAAAAATGAAATCTTGTCATTTGCAGTAACATGAGTGGGACTGGGGGACATTATGTTAAGTTAAATAAAAGAGACACAGAAAGAAATATTACATATTCTCACTCATATATGCGAGCTTAAAATGTTGATCTTATGGAGATAGGGAATAGAATGATAATTACCAGTGGCTGGGAAGGATGTGTGCGTTGGAGAGCATGGGGCCTGAAGAGAGGCAGGTTATGGAAACAAAGATACAGTTACATAGAAGAACTAAGTTCTAATGTTCAATTGCACAGTAGGGTAACCATAATTAACAATAGTGTATTGTACATTTCCAAATAATTAGAAGAGAGGATTTGAAATGTTTCCAACACATAGAAATGATAAATGCTAGAGACAGTGGATATCCTAAATACCCTGACTTGATCATTTCATGTTGTATGCATGTAACAAAATACCATATGTATCACATAAATATGTACAGTATTATATATCAATAAAAACCAAAAAAGTAAAAAAATAGTGTTTTGAAATATTTTCAGTACATCATAATATCACTATTTCTTCTTCCATTCAATGTAAAATATTTTTGAAACTCTATGGAATTGATTTGTATAAAATTGCTATTTTTTCTTGATTTCTACCATAATCATAGGAATAATCATAAGCAGTTTTAACAGTTTTCATGAAAACTGGTTACAATCGTAGCAATAATTATAGTAGCACTTTCTAGTGCAATAGCAGTGTATGCACTTTGCAAAGTGCTTTCATATACATTATCAGATCTTTTTTCATAAGTAGCATTTAGTTTAGTTCCTCCTTGTGTTCATTTCTTGCATTTAGTTTAATTTCTTACTTGCTTGTTCGTTGTAAAAATCATTTGTGTTTACAGTAAATTCATTTTTTTATTAAATCTGTTTGGCTAATTGAGACATTATTAACCTATGACCAAATAGCCAGTGAGAAAATCAGCTCTGGGTTAAAGGTTACCATGATTTATGCTATGACTCTTTTGGAAACTTTACCTTAACTTGTGGTGCTCCTGTTTGGCTGGAAAAAGCCATATGGCCAATGAAAATGTGCAGAAGTTGCCTGAAACCAATCCACAGAGAGCTGGTAAACTATAACTTTAGGCTGTGATGACCACATGCTGCCTTTCATCAGCCAAGAAAACAAAAATAGCCAAGCTTTTTATAATGCTTTCTAAAAAAATTGTAAATCCATGATTGTATCTTCTATCAGAAAGTCTTAGTGGTAATACAGGTATCCTAGGTATGGGCCTCATTGATCCTCTAAAAAAAATGTACCACTAGGGAATTCTACTTCACCAACATTTTCTTGACAATAGTTGAATCAATCATGTAAATCAGTCTTAGGATTTAGCTGATTCTGCAGCATGGTGGTTTTCTTTGAAAAGAAGAAATGTCTTGATCCTGAAGACATTCACCGTCATCTAAATGTCTTCCCCTTGATTCAGTTTCTTACATTATAGACTACTTTAGTGAAGATATCCTTTTCTTGCAACAGTTATTCACTTAAAAAGACTTCAAAATATTATCCAGTCACTGAAGCTTCTTTGAAGAAAAATATGACTGCTCGTGTAAACAATTAATGGTTGTTAAGCATGGCAGTGTATATTATGACAAACAACACATGCTACATTATGCCAGCTGGTGTAATGATGTGATAATGTCTGACTCATTAACTCTGGCACACAGTTTACGATGCCCTTCTATGACAGGATTAATTGATTCACACATACATTAAAACAAAAATAACTAAACTGAAATTTAGCTGGAAGCCTGGCTCCTCATTTGTCATAAACCCTGCTGTTGGTGATAGCTGACAAAGACCCTAATGCCGAACGGGGTTGAGGTTCCCTTCCTGACCTCACCTTTCTTTCTGAATGGAAACAAGAGCCTTGGAAACAAACCAGAATGCTTTAAGGTAAAGTCTCCCCTAGAGAATAATTCATGCTGGAATATATATATATGCACATACAGTTTTCACAGTGAAATTGCTCAAAATACTTTTTTAAAAGCAAGTAGCTACAAACCAACCATTACTAAAGGGTGTCTGGTCTACCAGAAATACAGTTTAGATGACTTTTTGAAATACTTGGATGTTTAAAGATAACTCATCAAATACTTGTCAGAGAACTTTTTGTAACTGTAACTAATCCAGAATGATGTTAAGCAGAATAATAAACAGAAGGCTAACAGGAGTGCTAACTTTTACTCTTGGTCTCATCTACAATTTCATCTATTCATTGAAGTGTGAGGGTTGACAATGCTTAAAATCTGAGCCTAGGGAACTCTTCTTCACCTAAAACATGAAAAATGCAATAACAGTTCTATTAAATTGAAAGGCTCACTTATTCCAATACAAAATCCGTATTTGGCATTCTATGACACTTTCAATTAAGAACTAAATTATTTCTTTATTAAGTGTTCATTGTTTCACTTGAGATGATATTGTATTTAACAATTTCTAGTTGTTTTATTAAGTCAAAACTGAATTGTATAATATGATTTTTATTTCACAAGTGCTTCTATACACTGGATTTATTAATATTATTGTTACTATTGTTGTTACTAGCAATTTTGGCCCAAATGTTGGAGGATATAGAAAACCCAAAAGTTTACCTGAGTGTATTTTATTCAACATACTGAAAGACAAAATGTAAGGGGGAAAAAGTGAAAACGTTTAAAAAATTACAATTTCTTTAATTATTTTAATTAATTTTATTCATTTTACCATTCTTTGTTTTTGGAATCAGAGGATGCACATCATGTCCTTCTTTTCACATTGAGACTAAACAATTTACTAGGCTGGTCAAGTAACCATGATTTGTTCAGTGTTGTATCTAAAAAGAGTCTCAGGAGTCATTGTCATCTTGTAAAAAAGATATGGAATAATAAATTTACCTCTTCTTTTGCCTTGCTGATTTTTCTTGTGACATTAAGTTAGTAATTCCAAAACTTTTTGTTACCATAGGCTATTTTTTTCCAATTTTTTCTTCTATAAATCACTACTTATACAATTTTATTTATTCTTATTATAAAATCCATATCTAATGGAGACAATTTAGAAGATACAATGAAAACACAATGAAGAAAATTAAAGATTATCCATAATTTTATGACTCGGAGAGAAGCACAATTAACAGATTAATAGACTTCCTGTCTGAATTGTTTTATGTATATTTTTATATATTGTTTCTAAAGTTGAGATTATTTAAATATGATTTTGTATCCATTTTCTTTCTTTGGATTATATTCTGAACATTTTACATTTTATTAAATGTTTTAATAACATTATTTTTAATGACTATATAATACACTTGAAAGTTTCAATATTGCTGGTCACTTCATTGTTTTGAACTTTTATTTATTATATAACAGTAAGATTTACTGCAATGAACATGGGTCCCATAATTTGAAAGCATCAATCTATAGAAGAGTAAACTTGAATTTGTCAACAAACAATTCAGATGCCACACTGCTTAAAAGTTAATCAAAACATAGTAACTGCCATAAAATCTTGAGATCAACATTAGATATCAGTGTTGTTGCTCTGAATTAGTAATATTTCACCAAAGTGGAAAGGAAAATTTATGCTCATTTATTTCTCTCCAATTTGTCAAGAAAACACACGATGTATCTTCCATGTGTTGACATGTGAAAAAAACTCTGAAACCTACAAATTGACAACTAATACACTAGTAGATAACAGGTAAACTTTATAAGGATAAGTAGAGTAGAATTAATAGTGTGTGGTATAATTCACTCTCCCTATTTAAAAAAAATGGAAATATGATTTCCAAAGAGGTGACTATGCAAACTACTGCAATAGGAAGAATAAGCACTGAAGAATTAAAATATAAATATAGATATGCAGATTATTGGATATGTCTTTCAGCATGAAGGTACTTATTTTGAGGGAAGAAATATGCTCTATTTCTTCAGATGTGGGCTGTGTTGCTTCTCAGCATGCTGCCTTAGCTTCCTGATGACTTCTCAACATTTGCTAGTTGTACTTAATAGTCTGGTTTAGCATTGGGATAGCTTCCCTTATTTCACTGAGATCAGTTCAGTGTGCTGTCTCAATTCTTCATAGTTTTTTTGCTTTTTAAATTTTTTTTGAGTGTGTGTGCGTATGGCTAATCTTTTTGTTTGTAACTATTGTTTTTAGTGAAATTTGAGTAAGAATATTGAGAAAAATACCTTAGTATATAATTTTTAACAAAAAGAATGTTTTTAAATGTACAAAGTAGACCTGCCTATCATAAGCTTATCATACACTTGCAATGCCTATGTATACATAGTGCTTGTAGGCATTTGAGTTTGCAAACCCTTGGTCTGAGATTGAGCTTGGTTGAGGAAAGAAGGAGGTGTTACAGACAAACAAGACAACACACCCAATAGAGTCGGCTGAAACTTCAGTTTACTTTACAATCCCCTCCTGGCCGCACTGCTTTATAATTCCAAGTAACTCATCCTATTCCTTCAAAGATGGCTAATAATTAGGAAGAAATATGGAAAAAAAAAAAAAGTATGTGGCTGAGTGCAGTGGGGCAAGTCTGTAGTCCCAGCTACTTGGAAGGCTGAGGTAGAAGTTTCCCTTGTGCCTAGGAGTTCAAGTCCAGCCTGGGCAACATAGCAAGACCCCATCTCTATAAAAAAAGAAGTACAATAGTATATGCAAAGCAAATAAAGCATTTATGTTAAATCATATAATTAGCATTAAGAGTTTAGAGCTGTGTCTGCAAATAGTAAATACTCAATAAGTGTTAGACATACATCACAAAGTAGTTATAAAAAAGACACAGTCATCTGACAAGTAATCGTTTATACTTTCAAAGAAATTACAAACCATATAGTTACATTTGCTTGTAATATATACACATATAATATTTATAATACACATACATACATTCACATATATACAAACATACAGAGAAAAAAGAGCTATAAAAGGAGACACCATGATACAAAGGAGATTATAAAGCAACAAAAGATTAAAAGTTATCAGGCAGAGCTTAAGATAGAAATGGAAGACAAAAATAAACATTACTAGAAACATGAAAGCTATATTAGAATGACAAACTAAAATAAATACAAATAAAAAAGTCAAAGACACAAAATAATAATAGGCTTGAGGAAATCACTCAAAGTACTTGATAACAGAAATAAAATACCATCCACAGGGATCCAATAAATGCATAACTGGTACCCCAAAAGAAGAGAACAAAAGAGATTAAATAAAAATAAGTAAGTAAATAAATAAATAATAATTTTTTTAAAAAAGGAATTGAATTTGCAGATTGAAATGGTATGCAGTGAACCAGGGCAAACTGAGATCGAATGTTTAACACCGAGCTCCAGGATCTGCTCCAACTTCACGTGGCATTCTTCCCTCCTATCTACACAGTCTCATCATAACACCAGTCATAATGGATTAAGGATTCACACTACTCAAGTATGGCCTCATTTTTTAAATACCTGCAATGACCCTATTTCCAAATAAGGTCACATTCTGAGGTCCTGGAGATTAGAATTTCAACACATCTTTTGGAGGAACACATTTAATTCATAATACCTTTCTTTACCTTATGGGGAAAAAAATACTTTTTCTGTTTAATTTTGAGATGGTTGGAGATTTCTGAGATTGGAGCATTTTCCCTATTGCAATAGTCTTTTTTTTTTTTTTTCGGAGTAAAGTCTTTCCTTATCTAAGTTTGAATTGACAATAGTTTATAGGTAGTACAGTTTCAAGTTTAAATTTGTTATTCCTATCACCTTTCCATTAATCCACAAAAAATTAGTGCTCACAAAAAGTTGATGATTTGGAAGATTTATTTTTCAATAATGATAGTTATTTTTACTAAAACATAAAAGTTTTTTTAAACCATTTTCTTACATAAAAATCAGAAAGACAGCTAGAAGTGAGATGATTAGTTACTGGCTGTGTAAAACTGGAGTCGACATTTTAATTGGTTAATTCAAACAGGACTGCTTCTAAAAGTAGAGACTATTCATCGAAAAGTAACAAAATAATCATCCCTATGATTGACTATGACTTAATAACATTAAGCCAAAATCTAAAAATCTAATGCTTTACACTGTGTAAAAGACATCAGAATGTTTCACCATTTGTCTAAATATTTTGTATTATAAGAATAAATAGTTTTTTGTTTTAAAGTAATTTTTTTAGAATTTATAGTTTATTTTGAGAAGTTAAGATTAAAATACAGGAAATTTGACCAGTGGCCCAGAAATAATCCTTTAACATATGGTCTTTGGAGGTAGGCTATATTAAATATAATTTAAAAGATAGGCAACAAAAGATGTATAGGAGTATTGTTACATCAAACATTTTTGATGAAATCAAAATTTTAAAATTTCAGCATTTACTATTCAGATAAATGACAAATTTCAAAAGAAAAAATACTTTTAAATCAGTAATTGCTCTTTGGTAAATCATCTCATTCAGAGAATGGTAGAAATGAAGATTACAAAGCTACCAAAAAAACACTAAAGTACAGTTTCTAATAAGGGTTAGAAGGGGACAGTAACTTGGAAATCTGTATAGGAAAATAATCCCCAAAGGTTAAAATAATCTATAGTAGTTATTTAAAAGGAGAAATACAGAAAGGAGAGCTCTGCAATTAGTCACAGGAAATCAAGAGATGTTGTTAGAAAAGTCAAACAAATAAAATGTTTGCTCCTTAATATTTGTGTAATTTCCAGGCTCTGTTTCCTAATAGTAAACTGTAGACAACAGTAGGTAACACTCCAGGTCGCTGCAAGGATTAAGAGAGATAATATATATTAAATCCTTAATACATTGTGTAATTCATGGTAGATACTTAACCTTCCTCTAATTTCCTTTCCTCCACACAATTGATTTTTATCCACTGAGTCATAGGATAAATGGACCAGATTAGATTACAACTCTCTCAGTTCAGAATCACTTCAGCATCTCATTCAGAAAACAGCCTGAACCACACATTTATTTTAAAATTGTATTCTTTCAAAGAAATTGTTATTCGAGTTATTTTTACTTTCCAATGCGTCTGTGTCTTTCTCAGTCAAAATATGAGTTTTTCTGTGTGTGTAAATTTTTTTAACATCTTTGTGAAGATATTTTCTACAGATTACTGTAAATGAATATTAATTTAATATTAATTAATTAATGTAAATGAATATTAATGCATATGATATGTAAGGGTCCTTTGTATTCCTAATCACAGTGCAGATGAATATGCCCTGTCATGTGGGAATCAAAGCTATTGCTTTGACTTGTAATGAGTTGTTTATATGTTATGCAATGGTGCTGACTAGTGGCTTATTTTTTGAAGAAAACAACTTAAAATATGTATTTTGCATGGCAGAGCAGAAGTTTGGCTTCTACATATCCACTTAATATGACATTATCCTGCAATATTATACTTCATTTATTCATGCATTCATTTATTCATTCTGGACAGTCACCAAGATATTTATTGCCAATACACAGAGCCTGTACACAGTGCTTTGCTACACATGGGTTCAAACACATAACTAAACACTGTAGACAAATGCTACATTCCAGAAATTAAAGGAAGGTCATATATATAGAACTTAGAGAGTGAGGGGGCTCTAGTTGGGAGATGAGGCAGGACCAGACCACACTGAGCCTCAAAGTTCATATTAAAGGTTTTGGTATTAATCCTAGAATAGTGAAAAAAAAAGAGAGGAGAAGATAAGTAATTAAATTTTCATTTAAGTTGCAACTCACTTGTTTCTAAAGGGGATAGTGGTATGGTGAAAACCTGGAAGGATGCGAGGACAATAGTTAGGATGCTGTTAAAGTAAATATTTGGTCAGAAACAGCAATACATTGAACTAGGGTATCAGTAGCAGAGCTGGAGAAACGTAAATAGATTTAAGCAATATTTATGATCTAAGATTGGCAAGACTTTATGACAACATGGATATAGTTTAGAGAGCGAGGAGCTGTGTGGTAAGATGAACAGAGATATTAAGTAGGATTTTCAGGTTTCTGGATTCGAAGACTGGATAGTGACTTCATTCATTGTGATAAATAGAAAACACTTCAAGTGGATCATGTTAGGAAATAAAGCTATTTAGTGTAGTCTAATTTCTTTATTTGTCTTCTTCCCATACCTAAAGTTTGTAATACTTCATTGCTTTTGTCATTTTTTTTGGTAGATTTTCACCTTATTATAAAAGTAGTGCCTTTCATTCCTTTAAAATGGGGGGAAATAGAACTAAATAAGATTTAAAAATCCTTCATTTTTCAATCAGCTTTAATCAAATACTTGTAACAAAAATATTGGCTAAGCTAGAGTATGAATATATTATTTTATTTGAGAATTAAGTCTTTATGGAAATAATATGCATTTCAATCTAACTTATTGCAAAGTGTCTAAAGTGTAAGTCCAAGATTAAATCCAAATTTAAGATATAATTGCTAAAAGTTAGAAAAAAGTTTTAGTTAACAGTATGTCTTAGTTCAGACTACTAAAACAAAGTATCATAGACTGAGTGGCTTATAAATGACAGAAATTTATCTCTTAAGAGTTCTGGGGGCTGGAAGTCCAAGGTCAGGGTGCTAGCAGCTTCCAACTCTGAGAACCCTTTTCCAAGTTGCAGAAAGTCTTCCCCTTGTATCGTCACAAGGCAGAAGAAGAGGAAAAGAGAGCTCTCTAGCATTTATTTTATAAGGGCACTAATTCCATTCACAACGGCTCCACACTCATGACATAATTACCTCCCAAAGGCCCCACCTTTTAATGTCATCATATAGAAGGTTGATATTTCATTCAACACATGCATTAAGGTGAGCGGACACAAACAGTCTATTGCATCTTAAAGTTGGCTGGTACTCATTACATTGGAATTTTCTAATCAATTGGAGCAAAGATGGATTAGAGCTTGTTGTGATTGTCTCAAGAGAGTGATAACCTATTTTGACACATGAAATTTTATAGGTTATATAATAGAAGAATTTGCACTTTTGGATTTTATATTGCAGACAAGATGCCTGTTAATATCCCACTGTTCAATCGCTCCAACTTTAGTATCTAATATTGATTTTTTTTTCAGATAGGATATGTTTATACTCAGTGATTCTTTAATAAAATAACAAAGTGTTTATTAGGGAAATGTGCTGCATTTTGAATGAAGAAAATTCAGAAAAAAATAAGTACAGATAAATAAACAAATGATATAATCAACTTTATTCTGTTCAATGGCTGGCCATAGTTTGAGTAATTTTATTGACCCATTAGCTTTAAATCAAGAAAGACTTAATGGAAGACTTAGTGATAGGTACAATTTTTCAAAACACAGTGTTTACAATGGGTAAAATGTGGTACCTTCAGAATTCTAGGCTTAGATTTATTTTTTTACACTATCTTATGCATGACTTAAAATACTGCCAACTTGCCAACAGGTATTCAGTTGTAGAATGTGATAGCACAGTGGGGTAGACAGCTAAGTGGAATTTAAGATTTACTGTTGATGTGCTAAGCAGTATTAATATTATTATTTTATTATTATTATTGTAATTTTTAGAGATTTGGTCTTGTTCTATTGCCCAGGCTGGAATGCAGTGGCACTACCATAGCTCATTGTAACCTCAAACTCTTGGCTTCTAGTGATTCTCCTACCTCAGCCTTCTGAGTAGCTGGGACTATAGCCATGCATCACCATACCTGGCTAATTTTTGTATTTTTGTAGAGATGGGGTCTCAGTATGCTGCACAGGCTGGTCTCAAACTCCTGGCTTCAAATGATGCTACTGCCTTGGCCTCCCAAAGCACTGTGATTACAGACATGAGCCACAGTGGCAGACCATATTATTTTGTAAGTGTTTTAATTAAAAGTTTCTTTAGAAACATTTTAGAATTTTAGGTGTTACTTCTGTTGAAGAAATAATATAAAGGCTTTAAATATTAGGGAGCTATTCATTTTTTACCCATTCATCACATTTTGTTTTCTTTTTAATTGAACATCTATTCTCTGCCAAACTCTACTGGAAAAGAATACACATAGACACAAAAATAAGAGAGCTCCTAGCTTAAGAAAGCTTGTGGTCTAGTAGACAAAGGAGATAAACATGTAATTAAGATGTTATTTGTTAACTGCTCCTAGAGGAGTGTACAATAATTTATAGGAACTCTGAGCAGGTAACACAAAATTTAGCCTGGAAATGAGGTTATATTAGTGGAAGTCTTTCCAGTTGCGTATGATAGAATTCCAACTCTAATTGGCAGCTGAAACTGGATTTATTTGCTCACATAGCTGAACAATCTCCCTATATCTATTTGGAATTGAGTACTGAAAATCATAGAGTAATAGGAGTAACGTTCCCCATTTTAGTAGACTGGAGGATGGTCAAGCCTCTTTCATCTCAGTCTCTTTCAGCCCTATTGAGAATCAATTTTAGAGCCCGGAAGCAAGGGATGAAAAAGGCCAGGGACCAGACCACCTTTTAATGATTCTAGGTCTATGAGGCTGGGCTTGATTGTGTGCTGGCTTGGTTGGTTGGGTCAATAAACCTATTATAGTGGGAAGTCTGTTAGGGCAGTTCTCAAACGTGGCTGCAGATTAGAATCACTTCTATAATTCAAAAAATATGCCAAGAAATTAAGTCAAAATTTCTGGTGATGGGTTCTGGAATGAATATTTTAAAATGTTCTTTAGATGTGGAAAGGAAGAAAAAGGCTACATACCTATAAAGGAAGATGTGTAGGTGAGATTGTGTAAAGAATAGTGAGCAAAACAAATGGCACTCTTGTGAATAGAACACTCACCATTGCCTCTGCTCTAAGGCAAATCTTAGCGTGAATGCTGGAGCAGCCCTACATGACCAAAGGGAAGAGCATGAGGAGATGGCATTCCCATGAGACATCTTCAAGAAATAATGTTTATTATTTTCTTTGGTTTTATCCCCAGTCTGATGTAGCCCAGGGAAATGGCTATCACATTTTAATTTAATATGTGTGCTTGCCTCTGCTATAAAACTATACATTTTTATAGGTAAATTATCTTATTCATCTTCATATTCCCAATGTCTAGCTGACACGGTACTTGGTATATACAGGACACTCAGTAAACGACAATGGGATTAATGAATCTAGTGATATAGTACCACTATCTAGGGTTTTCCATATCTGGATTTAAAATCTGTAAAATTTTCTATTTGTAAAAATAGAAGTACTTACCAAAAACATACTTCTATAAATATTTGTGCTTTAAGAGGTAGCAACTCAGAAGCAAGTTATAATTCAAGATTGACCCAGAAGATCTCTGGGAATAAAAAGAATAAAATTCAAGTCTATGCTTATTCATTAGGAAAAAACCTCCAGCTCAATGAATTTTCTGTTGCATTTTAAAAAATTGGCCCTGTGATTACACCCTAGAGAAGAATAAACAGAAATTATGTCTTCTTATATAATTTATATATTCTGTTTAACCTTATGTAGTTATATCAAGTAAAATGTATGAGATATAAACTATTTAAAACTTCCATGAAAAATAAAAATTTCTGAAATATTAGCCCATTAGGAAAGGTCAAGTTTAAAATGCCATATTCACTGGACATTTGATGAGTTTTTTTTTTCTGTTACATAGTATGATCTTTAAAATGGTCATTTTGATAGCAGGTCTAATATCAAGTGTGTTTTTTTCCTACTGAATATTCCACATTCTCTCTGGCAATAAAGGTTCTGGATCCCGGCAAGGGCAATTCTTTTGAGGACGCATAAGGCAATTGCTTGTAATGCAGTTTACTTGTCCAAAGAGTTCTTGGCTCTGTAGTATTGACAATAACAGAAATGTATTTGGACATCCCAAACCCAGTCAAATATGACTAGGAAGACAATGAAAGGAACAGATGGATATCTTTACAGAGCAACAATTTCAGAGCCACACTTGGGGTCATGCCCATTTTTTTTTTTCCAGGAAATGTGAGAAAGGGAACAGATAAGGATCAGGGAGAAGGGCTTAAATCTCTCTGTGGTGAAAAAAATCTCTCTTTACATTCTTGAAGATTCTGAAAACTAAAATGCATATTATTTCAAGGTTATTATGCAAAGAATACTAAAATTTGAAACTAATGCTTTATGGATAATGTACCATGTTTAAAGATAAACTAGCTTTAGAGCATATATTTTAGCACACAAAGTCAAGTTCTTTATTATTAGCATGTATTTTCCTAGAAGACAAGAATAATTGAATTAAGATAAACCCTATGTGTTAAGACTTCTTTTGAAGCATTCTAATGAGAATTCTGCTATGGGTCTTTCAATCTCTCCCTTTTTTTGTTCTCCTATTGTTCATAATTAACTATACTTTCATTTCAATGCAATTACACTAGTACACTCGTATAACAAGAGACTGATGAGAGAATTTCACTTGGATTGTGGAAAGTTTTCAGGGTAGCAAATATTACCGTATTTCTTAGGGAATATTATCTTAAAATGCGTATTGAAAAAACATCACCTCTGAACTTTATTATTTGGAGAATAGGACATTTTTTATAAAAAAAACAATAACCAGGGGGATATATGAATTTGGAGAAGGGCTAACAGCATATTTAGAAATTGTTAGCATAATGATAATTTTAAGTTATTTGTTACATGAGAGGCATGATCCATGAGGTGGTATTAGATGTTACTTATATCAGCCCTGGATGGGTCATAACCACAAAAAAGTAAAGTTTTCATGTGGTAAAATATACACAATAGAAAATTTATCATTGTAACCATTTTAAGTGTACAATTCAGTGACATTTAGTACATTCACATTGTTGTGCAATCATCACCACTGTCCATCTTCAGAAATTTTTCATCATCCCAAACTGAAACTGCATGCTCATTAAAAAATAATTACTCCCTTTACCTAGCATCTGATGACATGATTCTACTTTCTGTTTTTAGGAATCTGACTGTTCCAGGCACCTCTTATAAATAGAATCATACAATATTTGTGTTTTTATGTATGACTTATTTCACTGAGTATATTGTTCTCAAGGCTTATCCATTTTGTAGCAAATGTCAGCATCCCACTCCTTTTTAAGGCTGAATAGTATTTCATTGATTGTACATAGCAGATTTTGTTTATTCATTAATCTTTCCACAAACATTTGTGTTGATTCCAAATTTTGGCTATTGTGAATAATGTTGCTATGAACATTGATGTACATATATCTGTTTGAACCCATGTTTTCACTCCTTTTGAGAGTATAGTTAGAAGTGGAATTGCTGACTTATGGTAATTCTATGTTTACTTTTTGAGGAACTGCCATACTGTCTTCCACAACAACTGCAACATTTTATATTACCACTAGCAATGCACAGAGGTCTTAATTTTTCCACATCCTCTCCAACACTTATTTCTGTTTTTTTTAATTGAATAGCCATCCTAATAGTATCTTTCTGTGATTGTGATTTGCATTTCCCTAATGACTAATGATGTTAAGCATCTTTTCCTGTTTTTACTGGCCATTTGTATATCTTTTTTAGAGAAATGTCTATTAAAGTCCTTTGCTCAGTTTTTAATTTGGTTGCTTTTGTTTTTGTTTTTGTTTTTTGTTATTGAGTGGTAGGATTTCTTTATATATTCTGGATATTAATCCCTCATCGGATATATTATTTGCAAATATTTTTGCCCATTCTGTGCCTTGCCTTTTTATCGCCTCTTGCCTTTTTATCACCCCCCTTCCTTGGAGTCATGAATTGTTGTCTTGATCATCCAGATCTGCGATGATTAAGAACACCTGTGGCAACACCAAACAGAGCCCACAAACATCGTGCTGATGAGCAAGGACTAGGGAAGAAGATGCTCAAGAAACATCCATGAAAACAACCAGGAGGGCTTTGAGAGAATGCGGAGCTGGAGCTCGGATCTTCCTTTCTGAAAAGCATGAGAAAACCCAGAAGGCTCTGTCTTAAGATAAAAAGACCAGGGACTTTCTAGGGGTCATAAGGTGAGGGGTTGTAACCTTTCCAAGATGAATCTGGGGACCTGGGGGGAAAACGATGTTAAAATCCAACAGTGCCAGAGATTAGAAGGGGAAGGAATCAGAAAGGAGGGAGAATCATATTACAAATGTCGAGGATAAACTACAGAGGAAACAAGATAATCAGTTTACTGTACCATATCAGGCAGGGGATAATAGTGATGCCTGAACTAAAAGTGTGAATGAAGGGGAAGGAAGAGAAAAGCAATTTTAAATTCAGTTCCCCTGACACACCTCTTTCCTCAGGAATTAATTGAATGTTGGAGAGAAACCCCTGTGTGATTATTACTGCATTTACAAATATCTCCAAGTATGAGCTTGGAGAAAACTGTTTTTATTCTTAAAATTGAAATCTTCAAAGAAAATTGGCAGTGTCATATAGAAGAAAGCTCCCCTGGGTTCTAATCCCTGCATTATCAGGCACAAACCAATCCTTGGACCTGGAACCATAAATTCCTCTGCAACCCAGTTTCTAAATCTTTAAGATAACGGGTCTGACATCTGTGATTTCTAATTTCCAGCTAAAATTCATGAGGTGTATGCTATAGTTTCAAGGTTTGTTTCCTCCCAAACAGATGTTGACATTTAATTGCCATTGTAACAGCTGTGAGAGGTAGGAACTTGGAGTGGTGATTAGGCCATGAGGGCTCCACCCTGATGAGTGGGACTGGTGCTGTTATAAAAGGGCAAGTTAGTCCCCTCTTACCTTCTGCCTTCCACCATGCAACGTCACAGCAAGAAGGCCCTCACAAGATGCTGGCCCCTTGATCTACAATTTCCCTTTTTCCTGAACTGTGAGCCAATACATTTCTGTTTATTATAAATTACTCGGTGTCAGGTATTCTGTTATAGGAGCAAAATGAACTACGATGGGATATATTTTAAATGTAAAAGTTTCTCTTTCTAAATTGTAGGTTAACTTATAACAGTCTTTGACATCTGGAAAATGAAAAGTAAACACCTGCAGTTCTCCAGTAGCAGCTATATGTTACATGACAAAAATGAGACACCATGAGATGCTATTAAAATATTTTGCTTTTGTCCTTGTTCCTCTTATTTGGGCATTGCATGATTCTCGTAATACATGTCAGGGCTGGTATAAGAAAGTGAAACTGTAGTGAACTCACAAAAACAAATGAGAGAAGAACACAAATACAAAGTACTGGACATTGACAAGAGCTGAAGGGTAGAAGCTGTGAAGGGATGAATGAAAGACAGACAAATGATTGTCCAAGTACTTATTGAGGCAAACATTTGGTACATAATTTGTTTTTGATACAACTGTAATGAATGTCATTCTTCTCTATGGAACAGCACGCCAAATCTTTAGCACATCGCTGCTTGGTGCCCAGTGGGCAGCAAATGCCCAATTGCCAATGCCACTTTTTAGCGCATGTTCATCTGCAGGATATTAAACAGATTGCCATCCTTTTGATGTTTGTGAATACGAGTAGTAAATACCATATGATATGACTCAATGAATTTGTTTCAGAAAAAAATAAAAAGACAAAGACGAGAATGGAGAAGGGAAAAGACGGAGACAAACAGGAGAAGGAGAAGGAAATTTCCTTCTTTCTTTGATAGGAAGGGATGAACTGGCAAATCTGAAAGGAAACAAATGTTACGGAAGTTAGTAACAAGCTTTGTATCTAGAAAAGAATGATACACCTGCCAGTTCACTTGCCAATTTCTGGCACATTTTGTGACTAAAGAAATGATTCCCCAGAGAATCTGTAAACAATTTTTTTTTCCGGGAATAGAAAATCATGAGTGAACAGAGAATTATTTCATTATAGTTCAGAATCTTCCAGAATGTGTCTGCCTTAATGGGCCATAGAATTTGTATGCGTGTATGAGTATGTAAATGTGCCCCAAATTATTCATTGGTCAAGACATTACTTAAGTTTCATAAGAAGTCTAATAAATGGTTATTATTACCTTCACTTTCATCTTTTAGATAGTAGGTATAGGTAGATGTAGTCCAAGAAAAGCACTATCAATTGGGTGAAATTAAAGGAACATTAGAAATCTAAAAACTTTTTTTCTAATCTTTCTTTCAACATGTTTTAATGACATCTAGTAAGTGACTTAAAATTTTCACCTACTTCATTGTATTAGATGATGTTGGATTAGACGGTCTCTTGAGCCTTACCTAACTACAACCTCTTCTTGCACATGAATGTAGTCTTGGAGTTTTCTTTGAGAAGACTATTTTTGAGAATACCAAACTCTACAGAACGAATCCTATTCCCCAGATGAATCATCTCCTAAATGCTAACGCTATAACTTTTTTGGATTGTGAAGATGATTTTCTTGTTATTTTCCTCAATGTTGTTAATTATAAAACCGAGCTAATGGTAAATATCTATGACCTATTTGAAATAGAATGTGGAAGAAGTGACCAGTTGATTCAGTGACGTGCACTTGAGGCCAGACAAACTTTTTCTCAGAGGAGAGAGAGAGCAGAGAGAGAGAGAAAGAGAGAGAGAGCGAGCGAGCAGAGAGAGAGCAGAGAGAGAGAGAGAGAGAACCTAATTAAAGATTCTTTCCCAGGTTGTCTATTCATCCCCTGCTCTGGTCACATTGCTGAGGCCCACAAAGGTGGAAGCAGGGAGGTGCAATTAAGCATATTGTCTACCTCTGTTTGGAGAAAAATCTAAACAAAATAGAGTTATCATTATTTGTAGTTACTAGAACATTTTTGTCCTGGTTTTGCTCAACTCTGTTTCAAAGCTACTGGTATAGACAGTATAGTGTTTCCTTACTATTTTTGGCATTATAAATATTTTCCAAACTTGACTTTCCTATGACACTTGAAAAACATATTCTAATAACTGAATATAAGAAAGGTTTGTTAGTTTTTGTAACGGTAAACTGAATTTCATAGGTAGTTTAATATGAGATTAACACTACAGTCTTACCACCTTCTGTTTTTTTTTCCCACCAAAGGTCAAGGCCTTCTCTTGTTTTCTTTTCTAAAATAAATCATTTTGTTGAGGGCTGATATGATAATGAAGTATAATGTATGCTAAACACATAGAGAACAAGGATCACATGCAATTTCTCCAAGCCTCGAATAAATTGAGCTGTAAAGGTTGTTGATGGAAACGATGGGGGCTATTTAAATATTAAGTTTATTAAGTTTATTCATTTTGTATTGATTGAAACAATCAGAATATAGACAGACTATAGAGCTGTCATTTCAGTGGGAGGTTAAAGTAGGTGACTTACTGAGATGGTATTGTATTTATTCTAGACTTTGCTGGAAGATTACCCTAGGGGATCTTATTAGTTCACAAGATTTAAAAAAAGGCATGAAAGCAAATTTTCCATATAGAGCAGTCATAGAGTTGGTACATAATTTCCCACCAAAATGAGGATTGTATAATGTAACATTTAGACTCACGCATTGAGAACGAGGGCTTACCATGAGTGAAACAATAGGTTCCTTGGTAGATTATGAATATTAATATCAAAATGATAATATAAGCACCAGACATCACACACAAACAGATAATAATTCAGATTCTGAGTAGGGTGGGGAGGGGGAGATGCTTATCTCTCTCAGTGCAGTGTATATGGTTTCCATTCCCAGAGCTCAGTTAGAAATGATCTAGCTGTTTAGTGCTGCTTCTACATTTATATCACATGAGGTGTTTTTAATTAGATTTAATAATACATCTGTCTTCTCTTCGGATACCTTTAACATTTCTTTCCCTTCCTCACCTTGTTTCTCTTTTCTTCTTCTCCTCTCTCTCTCTTTCTCTTCCTGTCCTCCAACTTTTTCTCTCTCTCACTATTCTTTCTTACTGTCCTCCTCCCCTCCCAGCCACAACTTAAATTTACAAAATGGCTTCTCGGAAAATAGCATCAGAATTAGGTGCTTTTCTTTCTCCTGGTTAGTGTTCCAGCTCATGCTCTCTCACTCGCACATATGCCTGACATTAAATGATGACTTGCTGTTTCATAACATGCATGCAGTGAGACCCCATCATCATAATTTCACCATGTAGTTCTGCTTAGTGGCAATATAGAGAAATTATTAATTAGATAATTTTATAATAAAATACACAGAAGCTCCTTTATAGCCTTGGGGTAAAGTATTGTAATTTACCAATATCCTATGAGTTAAGTTAAGAAAATGAGGCTTTTAAAGGCAAAGATACCTAAAAAAGATAAGCTGATAAGCACAGGAATGTGCATATGGAAGGAGTGAGAGTGAGATGCTGAGTTTGAGGACTTTTATTTCTGATTTTCTTATGACATCTTTGTTTGTAACTCTTCATAAGGTCCTTTGGAATAGGTCCCAGAAGGAGAATTATGACCGGATAGAATGAAATGAGAAATTAATTTGTTTTAAATGATTGTAGACATTATCATGTACTTCTCCAGCCTAATCACACAAATGACTTCAAATAGAGCTCACAGACCTGCTAGAGAGGAACTGGTACACCCCATGCTAGCTCACTGCAGACTCAGTGAGGATACATCAGTATGCATAATAAAGAGCAGAGATTAAGCTACTTGAATAAACTTTGGCTATATTCCTTAAGAGTTTGAAGATAATTTTCTCCTTTTAAAAATAGTTTTACTGAGGTATTATTGACTGCAAATATTTAAAGTGTTTGATTTGATTAATTTTGACATATGTATTTATCCTCCAAACCACCGCAATAATTACTATAATAAATATATTATTCACCCCCCAAATTTTCTTCGTGCCCCTTTAAAATCATGCCTCCTAAGCCTTCCTGCCAGTTTCTCATCACCCCTCTCCCAGCTCCCAGGCAGCTACTGATCTGCTTTCTGACACTGTACAATACTTTGAATTTTCTAGAATCTTCTAAGGACAGGATCATACTATACTCTTTTCGTCTGGCTTATTTCCTTTAATTATTTTGAAATTCAACTATGTTATAGTGTTTATCAATAGTTCATTTCTTTTTGTTACTAAATAGTATCCCATTGTGTGGATATATCATAGTTTGTTTATCTTTCTACCCGTTGGTGGCCATTTGAGTTGTAAACAACTTTTGGCCATAATAAGTCCTGTGAACAAGTCTTTGTATGGACATATGTTCTCATTTCTCTTGGGTAAATACCTAGGATCATATGTATATTTAATTTTTGAAGAAATTCTCAAACTGTTTTCCAAAGTGCTTACACTATTTTATATTTTCACAAGAAACATGAAAGGCAAGTTCTTCTACATCTTTACTAGCATTTGGTAGAGGCACTCTTTTTTTGTTTGTTTTGTTTTTTAGGTATTCTGGTTACTGTGTAGTTTCTATCTCATGTAGTTTTTCTTTTTTAGTTTGTTAATCTGGTGAAGTACATTGAGTCTTCTAATTATGCTGACTCATTATCCTATTGTTACATTCCCTCACTTGGTCATGATGTATTATTCTTTTCAAATATTGATAAACTAATTTGCTAAAATTTTGTTCAGAATTTTTGCATCCATGTTTATGACAGATATTGGTCCACAGTTGTTTTTTCTTGTAACATCTTCTTTTCCTGGTGTTGGAACCAGGATAATGCGATAAACCTGGCCTCATGGAATGAGTTTGAGAACATTCCCTTCTTTACAGTCTTCTGGAAAAATTTGTGTAGGATAGGCATTATTTCTTCCTTATAAGTGTGAAAGAAGCCACTTGAGCTTGAGGTTTTCTTTGTAAGGGGGGTTTTAAGCTAGAAATTCAATATTTTTAAGAGATATAGAGCCATTCTGGTTATCTATATTTTCCTGAGTTTAAGAAGTTTGTGTTTTCCAATGAATTTGTTCATCTTATCCAAGTCATCAAATTTACTGGCATAAGGTTTTCATAATATTTCTATATTCTCATTTTACTATCCTTAATATCCTACAGGACCTGTAGTAGTAATGTCAATCTCATTCCTGATATGGATAATTTTTGTCTTCTCTCCTTTTTTTCTAGTAACGGAGGCTAAAAGTTTATCATATTCACACTCTGAAAGAACAAACTTTTGGTTATATCAATTTTGCCATTTTGTCATTGTTTTCTATTTTCTATATCTGTTTTGTATCTTCTTTAGAATTAATTGATTACTACTGCTCTCATCTTTACTATTTCTTTACTTCTTCTATTTAGCTTGGGCTTAATTTATTACTCCATTTCTCGTTTCTTAAGGTAGAAGCAGAGGTTAGTGATTTAAGACCTTTTCTCCCTTCTAATACAGGCATTTAGTTCTATAAAATTCTTCTAAAGTACTGCTTTAACAATCTCTCATAAATTTTAATATGTTGTGCTTTCATTTTCACTCAATTCCAGATACTTTCTATTTTCCCTCTTTATCTCTTTAACTTATCAATTATTTTAAAGTTTGTTACTTAGTTTTCAAATGTTTGGGGACTTTTCTAAAGATTTTTCTAGTGTCGATGTATAATTCTAATGTGCTCAGACACCATACTTTGTAAGAAATCTTTTTTAATTTTTTGAGGCTTGCTTTTTGGCCTCTATATGGTCAATCTTGGTAAATATTCACTGTGCACTTGAAAAGAATATGTATTCTCCTATTGTTGGGTGGCATTTTCCATAAATGTCAGTTAAGTCATGTTGTTTGATAGTGTTGTTAAAATCCATATCTTAGTAAACTTAACTACTTTTTCTATCAAATATTGAGGAAGAGGTATTGAAATATCTTCCTGTTATTGCACAACTTTTTATTTTTCCTTTCAGTTCTATAAGATTTTATGTATTTTGAAGCTCCATCATGAGGTGCATAAATATTTAGAATTGTTATGTCCTCTTGAATTTACCCCATTATCATTGCAAATGATCTTATCACTTTTAATATTCTTTGTTTTGAAATTTACTTTCTGATATTTCTTTTTTATTATTATTAACTTGGTATATCCATTTTCTATCATTTTACTTTTGACCTTTTTTTCTTATGTGTAAAGTATGTTTCTTGGAGGCAGTGTATATTTTGGTTTTATTTTTTAAATCTGACAAGTTTCCTTTTTAATTGGGGTAATCAAATCATTTACATTTAATGTGCTTGTTGGTATGGTTAGGGTTAAATATATTTTCCTACCTTTTCTTTGTTCCTCATCTGTTTTGTATCTTCTTTAGAATTGAATATTTTAGTAGTTCTAGTGCATATTTTTAATATAACATTTTGTTATTTCAGGATTTATAGTATATATCTTTCATTATCACTATAACTTCAAGTGATACATCATTTTCCACACAGTATATGAGTCTCAAACTACTACACCTTCATTTATCCTCTTCTTTGCTATTGTTTTCTTTTAGACATGCTTGCATTTCATACTATATTATTATTTTTGTTTGAACAGTCATTTGTTTTTTCCTACTTGAAAGCAATATTTTCTGAAATATTCCAGTGTTTTTTCCCAGCATATATCCAGCTAATATATTAAATAAAAGAGTAAGTTATAAGAAATTTGGTGCAATCATAATATACTTTTTGTAGCAGCATAAAACATATTTAACTTTTAAATACTGCCTTTGTAGGTTTCTCCTGATAAATAATATGTATACACATTCCCCAAAATGTATATAGCTGTTTACCTTAAAGTATTTAGGACCATCCATGTTATAATCTACTGACTACAATGTACTTTCAACTTATAAATGAGCTACTCTATATGATATAGACATGATATAAAAAAGGGAAATAGTGTCCCTGTCCCTCTAGGATTCACACAATAATTCAGTAAAATAGTAATTAATGAGACCATGTAAATTGTCTAATAAATTTCAATTTGGCAAATATTTTTCAGGAAAATATCTAAGCTATGAGAATACTAAATTTCTATTGTAAGAATTTAGCAAATATTTCCATTAAACATTCAGTTAAGATGTAGTCTCTCTAATATGTAGAAAGGAGGACTTGTAGCCTATTAAAAACAAGAATAACAATGACAAAAAGTCCCTTAATTTTAGCAGATTAATTACACCTCTTAATCAAGTGTGTGTAACACAAAGAACCAAATCTGGGTCCATAAGTGTTAGAGGATAGTTGATAAAAAGATTCCATGAATAGAATCTGAATAGCCTATGTTTTAGAAAGAATGGGGCAGAATGTTATGGCAATGGAGGGGGCCAGCCTTCAAGATGGCTGGCCCAACCCTGTCGATGTTAAAAAAAACACACCCAATATTTCTACAGTGCTCTTCTAACGTATTTTCTTTATTTCAGGTCACAAGTCTAGGGTTTTCATGGGTCATGTAGCAAGTGGTTTATAAACAAAATCAGAGTCTATAATAGTGTCATTATATTAAGAGGCAGAACTGCTATATGCTTTCATTATGTAAAATGTTTACATCTTGGGACTCCATAGCTGGTATTATTATGGCACACCCGAGATATATCTTGCTCCAATTAGCATTACCATGCTACTCACTATAAAAAATCCCAAAGGCAGACTAGAGAAGATAGAAGGATCACCACCTTCAGGAGACTGACTGGTAACCCAACCCATTGACTTCATTACGGCTTTCTTCCATGTGGCATAACGAATTTCACTTTCTGTGGCCTGGATCTGTGGTTCAAATCGTTCCATCCTGAGAACTGACAAAGCCTGGGGTTCAAGGCTCCAAACGCTTACTCCCTCTGCAGCCCCTGCTGCCATGGCAGCTCCTAGTGCAGTTGTTTCAGGCATAAAGGGTTTTATTACTGGAATATGAAGAATATCTGCTTGTAGCTGCATAAGAACTTTGTTGTTGGTCATTCCTCCATCTACCTGCAAATGACGAAGTGGAATTCCACAGTCACGGTTCATGGCTTCCAAAATCTCTCGGGTTTGGAAACAAACAGCTTCTAATGCAGCAAAAGCAATATGACATTTATTGGTAAACTGAGTGAGGCCACAGAGTATCCCTCTTGCACTGGGCTCCCAATAAGGTGCATATAACCCTGAAAAGGCTGGGACAAAGTAACAGCCATAAGAAGTTCCTACTTCTTTAGCAAGTCTTTCAATGTCTCCTGAGGTCTCTATAATTCCAAGATTGTCTCTTAGCCAACGAATAACAGCACCTGCTATAGCAACAGAACCTTCCAGTGCATAATATGCTGGCTTCTCTCTGCCTAGTTTGTAAGCTACTGTGGTCAAAAGGCCATGTTCAGAAAACACACATTTACGACCCGTATTACACAGTAAGAAGCAACCTGTTCCATAGGTGTTTTTGGCTTGTCCCTCCTGGAAGCACATTTGTCCTACTAATGCAGCACATTGGTCCCCCAAACACCCAGATATTGGCACACCTTCCAGGGCTCCAGTTTTAATTAGGCCATAGATCTCAGAAGAACTGAAGACATTTGGAAGAAGGTCCATTGGAATTTCAAAAAAGTCACAGAGCTCTTTATCCCATTCCAAAGAATGGATATTAAAAAGCATTGTCCTACTTGCATTTGTTACATCTGTACAATGCACGCCTCCATTAACTCCTCCTGTCAAACTCCAGATAAGCCATGAATCAATGGTACCAAAAAGAGCTCTACCTTCTTCAACAGCCTTTTGGACGTTTCTCACATTGTCAAGCATCCAACGAAGTTTTACTGCACTGAAGTAAGTGCTGAGTGGAAGGCCTGTCTTAGACTTGACGAAGTTACTATTTCCTGGAATTTTTTTACTAAGATCCTCAACAGTAGTCTGGGTTCTTAGATCAAGCCACACCACAGCATTGTAGAGAGGCTCTCCTGTTAACTTGTCCCAGATTACAGTGGTTTCCCTCTGATTGCTGACACCAACAGCTTTTATGTTGGATATATCAATATTCAGTTCGTCAAGTTTCTCACACGTTCTCGCTATACACTCGTAGACAGACTGAAGAATTTCTTTAGGGTCTTGTTCCACCCATCCTTCTTTTGGGAACTCTTGTGTTAATTCCACTTTGTGATGACTAAGTAGTTCCGCTGTTTTTGAATTGAAAACCAGAAAGCGAGTGGAGTTGGTGCCCTGGACCACCGCTCCCACCAACGGCCCCACAGCTGCTGTCTTTGGGGCTGCCATGACACCAGTAGGTCGGCTCAGCAGCTCTGGGACCGTTTCCCAGGCCACGGCGGTGTTGGGGGCAGGGAGCGCAGCCAGTCAGGAGCACAAGGCGCAGGCGCAAGGCAACCTTTGCCCTTTAACTGGCGCGGCGCCTTCTCACCCCACCCCTCCAGCCCAGGCTTCACCTCCAGCCACTCAGTTGTCTTCTAAGATTTAATTTTTTTTTTTAAATCATATATTTATCCATGTAATTACAGTTACCGGCGTTCACTCTTTTGTGTGGATCTATATCTCTACGTTATCATTTTCCTTCTTAATAGTGCAGGTCTGCTGGAGATGAATTCTTCCAAATTTGAACATCTGAAATATATTTCATAGTAATATTCAAAGGTATTTTCTCGGGGTATAGAATTCTATTTGACATATTTTTTCTTTTTAAGTTTCAGGACCTTGGAGCTGTTGCTCTACCATCGTCTCTCTTGCTGTTTCAGGTGGAACTTTGCTATTATTTTTAACATGTCTATTTTTCTCTATCTTTAGGGTTTTGCTCTTTATCAGTGGTTTTGCCCAGTTTTATCATGAAGTGTCTTGGAATAGTTTTCTTATTTTCTTTGCTTGGGGTTTACTGAGCTACTTGAATCTGTAGGTTTACAGGTTTCATCGACTTTGAAAAGCTTTGGGCCCATTATTTCTTCAAATGTGTTTTATTCTGTCTCTTCTATCCCTTAGGGACTCCATTGATGCCCTACTCATTATAATTACCTTTTCTCCTTGTCCTTGATTTCAGATAGTTTCTGTTGCTCTCTCTTCAAGTTCACTAATCTTTTCTTCTCCAATGTCTGCTCTGCTATTAATTCATCCAGTACATTTTTCACCTCACATATTGTAGTGTTCATCCCTAGAAGCTCAATTTGGGTTTTTTAATATCTACTTAACTTTCTGAACACATGGAATACAGTTAGAATAACTTTTAATTTCATTTTCTGCAATTCTAACCTCTGTGTCAGTTCTGGTTCGGTTTTGATTGATTGCTTATCTCCTCATTATGGCTTGTATTTCCTGTTTCTTTGCATGCCTGATAAGTTTTAATTAGATGCCAAACATTGTGACTTTTACCTGACTGGGTGCTTGATATTTTTGTATCCCTATAAATGGTCTTGAGTTTTGTTTTGGGATGCAGATAAATTACTTGGAAACAGTTCAATTCTTTTGCGTCTGCTTTTAAGATTTCTTAGATGGCACAAGGATAGTACTCAGTCTGGGGCTAATTCTTCCTCTTTACTGTGAAGAGATCTTTCTATGTACTCTACCCAACACCCCTGACAAATGAGGCTGTTTGGAACAGTAATTCCTCCCAGCCCTGAGTGACCACTGGATACTGTTATCTCTAGTCTTTCCAGGTGCATCTTTCGTTAGCCTCAGTAGTTTTCTCCTATACATGCACTGATCAATACCCAACTGAATACTCACTGGGGGACCCTCTAAAGCTCTCTGGAGTTCTCTCTCTATGCAACTCTTTTTTCTCCAGTGCTATGCCTGGCAGAGTCTAGCTTCTTTGGTTTCTCTAGGCTCTCAGCCTAATCTCCTTGCCATAGGTTTCCACTGAGTTTCAATTGGGTTCCCTGTCTGTGCTGTTGCTTCAAAACTCTCTCAAGAAACTAAGCTGGGGAAATCATAGTAGTCATGTCACTTGTTTTTAATCTCTTAGAAATTACTGCCTTTCATTCCGTGATATCCAGCATTTTGTGAACTGTTGTTTTATATTTTGCACATTATGTGAACTATTTCATCTATTTTTTCCATTTTTGATTGTTTTAGATGAAAAGGTAACTCCAATCCTTTTTACTACATCTTGGCCAGAGTGGAATTCCACTAAATGGAAACTTAAATTTTCAGATTAACTATAGAGTCGGTGAATAAAGACTTATTTAATCATTAATTAAAATATATTGAATATGCAGTCAATGAATGGCAATTTTTTGTATTAGGGCATAGGCTACATTTCTGAATTAGCTCAAGGATAAGGCCCATTTGTGTTTAGTAAAACCAAATAGAACAAGATAGAAAATAACATAAAAATTAACTGTGATATTGTTATTTCACTATTTTATCTGGGTCGTATTTTTTATTTAAGCAAAAACCCTTCAGGAAATACTATGAAGTCTGAGAAAGAAAGAACATTGAGACTTAATTTGCGAAGTAAGGTATAGAAATTATTAAAAACTGGATCAGATTTTCCTGGTTGTGTCTTTGTTTCTAAAATTCTATCAAAGCTTTTCCAAGCAAAATTGTAGAGGCAACATTTACCCGTATTCCAGTTAACCATAACATGTCTGCATTTTCATGGAACAAATTTATATTTACATTGTTTTAACTTTTTTCTCTCCAGGTATTTGGCAAGAGTAAACATTGTGTGTATAGATTAATGTACGCAATAAAAAGATTTGACCCAGAGCTTCTTTTCTACATTCCCTCTCTCCGTTCACACCAATATTTACAAACAAATGTTCCTAATTCCATTAGGTTTTGAGTCTGGGAATACTTTAAGTATTTTGTCTTTAATACAAATACCTTATTTATAAAATCGTCAGTTCTGCTTATAAAGAACTGGCTTACATAGTAGTTTCACTGATAATAAATTGTAGCCACTAAATAATCAGATAATAAGTGTCCCAATATAGTTTAGAAAGTTTACCAAATTGCAATAACTTCCTTAGAGTAATTGCAAACTACTGATGGGTTTAACCAAAGCTGATAAACAGTATTTAAAACAAGCAAACGAAAACTAAGGAGCTTAAATGAAGTCCACTATCTTCTTTATTTCAAAAACAAAACAAAACAAAACCAACTAAAATTTTTGTTGTCTATAATAGCTTCTTTATATTCTAATGTAGGATTTAAGCACTTCTGAAATCTTTGTTGGCACTACCTTATTTGTGAAGGCATTCAATTTTACAAGAAAATTGTTATTTCATTTGTATTATATTCCACAAAATCATAAATGCTTTAATGGTGAACATACTATTCAGAATAGTTCAAACAACAAAAATATATGAGGGGATTTTCTTCAAAAAGTCTTTTATTATGGGATTGTTAAAAATAGAGTTGTTAACATACTTGACTTTGTATATTATTCATTTACCTTTAAGGCTACTCTTCTAAAGTGCAGCTACTTAGTATTGAAGGTTTTAAGTAGTGTTCACATTGTAACATTTAAAATTTACTCATTCAATCAGTAACATGGTGAATATGTTTTGAGAGGTTGCTATCTATGGATTTCATTATAAGCCATGATATAGTGGTGCATCAAACATTCTTACTGCCCTTATTATAACCTTTAAGTTAAGAACAGTACCAGCTTAACGTACTTATCTTAATGACATATTTTCCTGTGCATGTTTTAGAGAGCCACTTGTTTAATTATTTTTTTCCTGTTAAGCACACTAAATTGTAAGTTCAATGAAGTCAGGGACCTTGGTTATTTAATTCAATCCTGTATTTTCAGCACTTATACTCAAAGCAGGAATTCAAGTGGTATTTGTTGGATGGATTAATGAACACCACTAAATATGGCCCTCACTTTATTAAGCAATCATCGTAAAGTCAAGATAAATTTAATTTTGCTTGCCGGATAGGCTATTGGTTATTCATTTTTCTTTTTCTTTTTTTCTTTCTTTCTTTCTTTTCTTTTTTTTTTTTTGAGACAGAGTCTAGCTCTGTCGCCCAGGCTGGAGTGCAGTGGCACGATCTCAGCTCACTGTAACTTCCGCCTCCAGAGTTCAAGCAGTTCTCCTGCCTTAGCCTCTGGAGTAGCTGGGATTACAGGGGCCTGCCACCACGCCTGGCTAAATTTTGTATTTTAAGTAGAGATGGGGTTTCACCATGTTGGCCGGGCTGGTTTTGAACTCCTGACCTTAAGTGATCTGCCCACCTCAGCTTCCCAAAGAGCTGGGATTATAGGCATTAGCCACCGCACCAGGCCTCATTTTCAATCTGATATAATAAGATGGATTGATGAAGAGACAGAGGATTGTATAGATAGAAAGATATGATAAAAGTAGTATAATAAAATGATAATTATATAATCTGTGTGGTAGATACGATGTTGATGAAAGTTTTTTCAACTTTCTATATGTTTTCAAATTTTCATAATAAAATGTTAGGAAAGTGTGATGTAAATACAAGCTGATCAAGCTGCAAAACAGTGCAAAGAGACCTATTTCATACAGGCTCTTTTGTTTGGAGGGACAGTTGAGTGAATGGAATAAAAAAGTCGCTGTTACGTTTACATCAATTTGAGAGACTCTGTGGCAGAATAATCTAGTTGTAGTTGTTCATCCCAAGAAAACCATTAATTATGAATGATTAAGATAGTTGTACTTTCATTATAAGCATTTTCTTCTGCTTTTTATAAACTTTTTAAATTCTAGGAAACCAGCTGCCTGTTTAATGCCTTGGCTCTTAGAAAGAAATTGCAGACATCTAAGAATGCTGCCACTCTTTTCAATCTCGAGAGTGGGAATCAGTGGAAAGTTTAGATTTCACCAAATTTGGACTTATCTTAGTCATGAATTTGAGAGTGTGCAACCTGATGGTAAGAGCATTCATTTATATAGTTTGTGGCTAGCAAATTTGACTTTTTTAGACCATGTCATAACCAATGCATCATCACAGTTGGTAATCTTCAAAACACTGATGCATTTTTCTACATGCTGTTCCCAAATGTGCTGGACCAGCTGTTGAGAGCCATACCATCCAATCGCCTGGAAGACCTCTTCTTGGACCACAAATCACCTAACGTACTATCCCTCTTTGTTCTAATGAAGAAAGGAAAAATTAAAGCAAGCTACCGTGGTTTATTACTCATGTTTTCTCTGTTATGCATGGGCCGTGGGAGCCACCGCATTCACATTAGGAGCCCTTGGCATTTTAGGTAAGCATTACATGACAGACAAGCCAATGAGTTTAATATTCACGGATCTGGAAGTGATTTTATGAATATTTGAATCTTGAAATGTTTGATTGATTGTGTGTGTGTGTGTGTGTGTGTGTGTTCTTTGTCATTTTCTCAGTGAAAATTGCCCTGACACTGATCTCAATGTTAATGTATTCCTGCTTACATTTGACTTTGGAATATGTTACAGCTAATTATCATTACACTGGATGAAAGATCAGAGCCCTGAGTGAGGTGCTTGGGTTTAGGAACAAAGGGAGACCAAATCAGCATCTTGGCTCTAGGCCCAATAATTGTAATCAAACATCTTGAAACTGATGGGATCTTTGCATTTATTTTTTATTTGTTATTTTTTTGTTTTCTTTCCTCACTTTTTGAAAGGAGGTGGGAAAAGGGGGCTAAGGGTTTGAAGGGGCTGAAATTTCCCCTTGAACATGATGTCAATATGTTGGCGTGTCTCCTTTTATTAAGACGCCATCCAACTGATAACAAGTCCTGCTGTGTTTTACCAACATAAAAAATTAGACTGGAGACCGAGGAGCGGCAGGTGGCTTTTGGCACCAAGAAATAATCACACTTGATGTGGAAAGTAAAGTAAAAGGAGCCATCTGTTCACTGCAGGAGGACGTGAAAAATCACATTAACATATTGTCACTAACATCATGAAATACACAGTTAATAATAAATTTAGTTATCATGGCAAGTTGCATTGGATACTTACTCTGAAAATGCAGAATGTGAAAGATGCTCATTCTTGCCCACCCCTATCTTTTTTTTTTTTTTTTGAGAGAGAGAGGAAAAAAAAAAGCTTTAAACCTTTCCTTGGAATGTGTGTATGTGTGTGTGTATGTTGGAGATGGGGAGGGGAATGTGTATCATTTTCAAGGCAGACTATGGTTCATTGTTGCTGACTAAGTGAGCAAAATAGCCACTCCGGCAGATGGAAGGTGTCATTTCTTGATTCCATCCACTTATTATCTACCGTGTAACTCTACAGCTTCTTACCTGGATGGAAGAGAAGGGATGTAGAAGAAAAAAAGGTTGTTTTGATCATGTTCCTTGCACGAGACCCAGAGCATGCAGATGCTCTGTGAAAAGGATGGGGGACAGAGTGCTGCCACATGCAAGAATCAGTGGCTGTGGCCTTTTCTTGAGCATCGAATTTGCCTTTAGTAAAGTGTTCCAGCAGAATATTTTTCTAGTGGGTTTTCTGTGAAATGCCTGCACATACTTTGCAGAACAAGTGTGTTAAGGCAATGTGATGGAAAGGTTTCCTTGCACTTCTTGTGTGTAATGTTGTTTGCATATGTCAACAAAATGAATAAAGAAGCTACAGAGCATGGAGGTCAAACTGAATTGGGAAAATTGGGGTTATTTTCACTGGGTCATTACTAAAGCCATATTTAAACATCTTTTGCTGTCAGAGTTTGCTCTCTAGTTTCTTATAGTCATTGCTTATAATCACTGCAAATTGTGACTCAAACCCACACTATTACTATTATTAATATTAAGATCTCATTCTATTTTATAAAATTACAGTTGTCACATAATAGAATCCTAATTAATAAGTTGACCAGTAGTTATTTCCTGAATATGGCTGTTGGTCTACATCCAGTCATTATCCCATATGCTTGAGAGAAAAAATATATAGATAACAAATATCTATATGTAATCATGAAAACTATGTTAGAATAAGAATTAGAATTTTAGTTCCAGCTCTGACTCTAGCTTTATGATCTTTAGCAAGTCAAATCACCTCTCTGGCTTTTTTTTTTTTTTTTCCAATGGCAAAATTTAGGCAACCTCTAAAGAAACTCCTCTTCTCCTTAAAACTTAAAGATTTTTTAAATATATTGTCTAATGAAACTTGATATTTATTTTAAGTTAATGAAAGAAAAATTGTGTTCAAGAAGCAATCATTTCGATAGTGTTATTTAAAAATTGTTAATGACCCTGAAAGGTAATGTGCAAATTAGGGTTGCCAACTTTCATTCAGGTAATGACGAGACAGGTTGTGATGGCATTTTGAGAGAGACCTGCTGTTTTGGGAGCAGGATGGTGGTAGGCTTTTCTTCTATTGTGTATGTAATATTCTGTCACTAAAGGTGAATGTTACCATGAAGTCCAGATCTAGGTGTAGACTCTGTCACCTGAGTTACCAATGTGTCTCATTCTAGTCCTAGATAATTTGCAAAAAAGTAGTCATGGGTGGAACAGAGTCTTCTATTTTGTATTCGTTTCTAAAGAATGATAGAGTTCTGTTCTCTCAGTTAGATGATCTGGACACAATCCACTGTCTACTGATAAACAGCCACATGCTTGTTAATTTGTTCCAGTAGGCTTAAACCATATGCTGACTTACCTTTTGGACGTTCCTCCTTCTACTATATATTTTCCAAAGTATCTTCAGCTCATTGTCCTTCCTCAAATAAACCTTTCTTGAACCTTTAACTGTAGTTAAATCACCCTGCTATAGTTCCCTGTTGAACCTTGTTCTTCTGTTTTCTTACATTTCTTACATTTGAATTAATTGTTCAGAATGTAAGCCCCATGAAGGCAGCACCCTGTCTATCTTGGTCACCCATTATTAACATCATGCCAGGCATGTAGAACCATTTAATAGGTATTACTTATTGGTAGACAGTTGGACAGCCCAACCAACTTTCAGGGTTCGTCAGGTTTTAGGGAAAACAGAACATGTGTTTGGCATTTGCATCACCATATAGTCATCCTGAAACTCTCAGGTGATCTTCAGGTGACTGTTCCAGAGGTCACCATTCCTATTGGAAGCACAAATAAATCTAGACTCCGCTTTAGGGTTCTGATGGAACAATTAGAATTTTTAAAGGATATCCTAAAATAGACATCAAAACAGTTCAGCTAAATGCTGAATATTTTTGAATATTTACTACTTTGTTTCTGATAATTAGGCAGCACTGGAAGATAAATTTCTAGGGCAACCCTGGAAATTTTCTGAATCCACCAAAACAGTTAAATCATACATGGACAAACTATTCTTCAGTAGACTAGAGTCCATCATTTTACCAATTTTTATTCAGCTTAGGGGAAACATGTAAATTTAATTTTGCAGAGATGACAAATGGCAGAAAAATATGTTTTATAGCACAAAGCAAGATCTATATATCAATTTCTGTGTTTTCTTGCCGAAGTGTTTAGAATGAAATGAATTGGCCAGCCAGGTGTGGTGGCTCATGCCTGTAATCCCAGCACTTTAGGAGGCCGAGGTGGGGGGATCCCGAGGTCAGGAGCTCTAGACCAGCCTGGCCAACATGGTGAAACCCTGTCTCTACTAAAGATACAAAAAAAAAAAATAAAATAAAAGCTGGGCGTGGTGGTGTGTGCCTGTAACCCCAGCTACTCGGAAGGCTGAGGCAGGAGAATCGCTTGAACCAGGGAGGTGGAGGTTGCAGGAGCTGAGATTGTGCCATTGCACTCCAGCCTGGATGACAGGGTGAGACTCTTGTCTCAAAAAAAAAAAAAAAAAAAAGGCCAAATAATTAAGTATGACTTAAAATGATGAAATGAGTTACTGGTGTCCTCCCCACAGCTACTGTTGTTAGAATTGTTATATTGATAGAGCCACATACATTACATGGAAGTATACATACTGAACTCATTGTATATTTGTTATTCTAATACATATTTACCGAAAATGTTTATTAATAATGAATAATCTCAATACTAGGAGACATATGTATTGGCTTAATGCTTTATCAGCTGAAAATGTAGCAAAAAGCAGCAAACAGAAATGAAAAGTCTGTGATAATCATCTAAAAATGTAGATAAAATTAGAAAATCATCATACTTAATGATACTGAATTATGCTGTGTAGGAAGTTGCCAAATGTTTGGACTTAGGTTGAAAATATTTTGCCACGGTGCATAAAAATTACCACGGTGCATGAAAAAGACCCTTGGAGGCAGTTGTAGTAACTGACAAACATTTTAAGAATTGACAGTCCCCCTTACCCAGTAGATATGTCATTCCCTGCATGCTGGGCTTCTTTGCAGTTGTTGAAAACTAAGGCAGATGGGCACTCCAGTCAGCCTGAGGGGACAGGAGTAGCATACTTCAGGGCACCAGGTGCCCTGAGATTCCTCCTTTTCATCAGATGGGCTAATAGACCCACAGAGGCCAGGGATTCAGTGATATCCTAGAGGGTCTTGCAGGTGGTCATCACTGAAGTGACTGGTAGACTTCCTGCCGACCCCTGGTTTCACGGAGTGTTGAAAGCAGAATTCTTTCACTGTGACAGCTAGGGTTTGACATGAAATAGCATATTAGAGAAACTCTGATGGTTTTTGAAGCATGGAAAACATTCAGAGGTTGATGATGATGAAGAATCCCAATGTTTTTCTTTTCTCTTTTTGTTGGCTAGCTATAGGTATCCTTAGTAATTCCATCCGTCAGTACTCTTTGCTCTTCCTCTGAACTTCTGAGGCATGCAATGTCTCTTCATTCAGCACTCTTAATTCCTTTTTACATCTTGTATTCTTTTTTCTCTGATTACAGTGTAAGATACCTGATGGGAAGGGATTGCTTTATGCATTTTATAATCTCAGTAGTGAATGATGCACAATAATAATAATCTATATTTTTGCTTTTCTTCTTTGTTTCTTCTTTCATTCATTCAAAAAATACTGACTGAATATCAACTATTTAATAGTCGCTGGGCTAGCTTCTGGAATACAATTCCTCTAGACAGACATAGTGCTTGCCTTAGCGAGGTTCTAGTGGGTAAGTCAGACAAAAACTGAGGAAATAAAGGTAAACAAATACCAAATTGTACTACCTTTTAGAAAGGAACACATGGCTAAGATCAAGTATAACTGCAAGTGGAAAGCTGACTGTTTTACTTCTGTTTTTCTTGCTATTTTTCTTTTTTCCAGCTTTTCAACTTTTATTTTAGATTCAGGAAGTACAAGCGCAGGTTTTTTACAATGGTATATTGTATACACTGTAATACATTGTATTACAATGGTATATTTTATACAATGGTATATTGCATGATTCTGAGGTTTGGAGTACAATTGAACCCATCATTCTAGTAGTGAGTATAGTACCCAATAGGTAGTTTTTCAGCCCTTGGCCTTCTAGTTAACCTTTGCCCTCTTGTAGTCCTTAGTGTGTGTTGTTACCCTCTTTATGGCTGTATGTATGCAATGTTTAGCTCCCACTTAAAAGTGAGAACAAGTGGTATTAGATTTTCTGTTTCCACATGAATTTGCTTATGATAATAGCCTCTAGCTGCATCCATACTGCTGCAAAGGACGTGATTTTGTTCCTTTTTATGGCTGCATAGTATTTCATGGTGTATATGTACCACATTTTCTGTATACAATCCACCTTTGATAGGCATCTGGGTTGATTCCATATCTTTGCTATTGTGAATAGTGCTGTCTTGAACATATGGGTGCATGTGTCTTTTTGGTAGAATGATTTATTTTCTTTTGGATATATACCCAATAATGGGGATGCTGGGTGAAATGATTGTTCTATTTTTAATTCTTTCAGAAATCTCCAAACTACTCTCCATGTGGCTGAACTAATTTACATTCCCACCAGCAGTGTATATGTGTTCCCTTTTCTCCGCAGCATCTCCAACATCGTTATTTTTTGACTTTTTAGTAATACCCACTCTAACTGGTAAGAGATGGTGTCTCATTGTAGTTTTGATTTGCATTTCCCTAATAATTAGTGACGTTGAACTTTTTTTCATGTGCATGTTGGCTGCATGTATGTTTTATTTTGAGAAGTGTCTGTTCATGTCCTTTGTCCACTTTGTAAGGGGTTGTGTGTTTTTTGCCTATGTTCCTTGTAGATTCTTGACATTAGACCTTTGTTGGATACAAAGTTTGCAAAATTTTCCCCCATTCTTTAGGTTGTCTATTTATTCTTTTGATAGTTTCTTTTGCTGTGCAGAAGCTATTTAGTTAAATTGTTAGTAGATATCATTTCTCAATTTTTGTTTTTGTTGCAATTGCTTTTGAGGACGTAATTATAAATTATTTGCCAAGGCTGATGCTGAGAAAGGTGTTTCCTAGATTTCCTCCATGATTTTAACAGTTTGAGGTCTTATGTTTAAGTCTTTAATCCATCTTGAGTATATATGGTGATAGGTAGGGGTCTGGTTTCATTCTTCTGCATATGGATAGCCAGCTATCCCAGCACCATTTATTGAGTAGGGAGGTCTTTGCTCATTGCTTATTATTTTTGTCAACTTTGTTGAAGATCAGATGGTTGTCTGTGTATGGCTTTAATTCTTGGTTCTCTATCCTGTTCTTTTGTGCTGTTTTTTGTTTTGTTTTGTTTATAACCAGTACCATGCTGTTTTAACTACCATAACCTCATAGTATAGTTTGAAGTTGGGTAATGTGATGCCTCTGACTTTGTTCTTTTTGCTGTTGTTGTTGTTGCTGTTTGAGACAGAGTCTTGCTTTGTCTCCCAGGCTGGAGTGGAATTGCATGATCTTGGCTCACTGCAACCTCCGCCTCCTGGGTTTGAGAGATTCTCCTGTCCCAGCCTCCTGAGTAGTGGGGACTACAGGTGCACACCACCACACCCAGCTAATTTTTGTACATTTTAAAGTAGAAACAGGGTTTCACCATGGTGGCCAAGATGGTATTGAACTCCTGACCTCAAGTGATCCACCCGCCTTGACCTCCCAAAGTGCTGGGATTACAGGCTTGAGCCACAACACCCAGCCTGTCTCTGGTTTTGTTCTTTTTGCTTAGAATTATTACTATTTGGTCATTTTTCCCCTAGTTCTGTGGAAAATGACACTGGTCATTTGATCAGAATAGTGTTGAATCTGTAGATTGCTTTGGGTAGTCTGGTCATTTTAATGATATTGGTTCCTCCAATCCATTAACATGGACTTTTTTTTATTTGTTTGTGTCATCTATGATTTCTTTTCAGGAAGTACATCTTATGTATTTCCTTGGTTGGATGTACTCCAATATATTTTATTTATATGTGGCTATTGTAAATAGGATTGTGTTCTCAACTTGGCTTTTAGTTTGACTATTTTTGTTGTATAGAAATGCTACTGATTTTTGTATCCTGAAACTTTACCGAAGTCACTTATTAACTCTAGCAGCCTTTTGGCAGAGTCTTCAGGGTCTTCTTTCCTATTTGGATGGCTTTTATTTCATTCTCTTGCCTGATTTTCCCTGGATAGGACTTCCAGCACTGTGTTGAATAGGAATGGTGAGAGTAGGTATCCTTGTCTAGGTCCACTGCTCAAGAGGAATGCTTCCAGGTTTTGATTATTCAGTATGATTTTGGCTATGCATTTATCATAGACGGCTCTTATTATTTTGAGGTATGTTCTTTTAATTCATAATCTGTTGAGGGTTCTTATAATGAGGGGATGTTGGATTTCATTGAAGGTTTTTTCTGCACATATTGAGATGGTCATATGGTTTTATTTTTAATTCTGTTTATGTGTTGAATTACATTTATCCATTTACATATATAAAACCAACCTTGCATTCCAAAAATAAGGGCTACTTGATCACAGTGAATTAACTTTTTGATGTGCTGCTCGATTCAGTTTGCTAGTATTTTGTTGAGGATATTTGTGTCTGTGCTCATTAGGGATATGGCTTGTAGTTTTCTTTTTTTGTTATGTCTTTGCCAGATTTTGGTATCAGGGTAATTCTGGCTTCTTCAAATGTGTCAGTGAGAAGTTCTTCCTCAGTTTTTTGGAATAGCTATTTTTCTTTCTCTTCTTTCACCTTAGTTATCTCCTCTTCCAAGTCAAATATTCTAAATCTCTTCTTTCAGGTGGATGTACGTGCATTTAAAAATAATTATGAAAGGCTAATCACTATTATTATAATACTTTTCTTTTTCTGTTACACCTCTCCTGGGTATATTTAAGCAGATTGTTCCATAAATTAGAAGAATCCATGGCTTTTTAGTGGCTACATGCAGTGGTATGTCTTTCTGAGTATCACATTCAACAGATTACATGTAGACAAATTCTGATTAAATTAGAATACAGAAAATACACTTTGCTAACATGGAAAATTTCCTTCTGAGGCCTCTCATTGGGTTATAGGTGGCCAACTCTCCTCTTTATTTTCATGTGGTCTTCACCCTGTGTGTGTGTTTGTCCTAATCTCCTCTTTCTATAGGGATACCAGTCATGTTGGACTAGGACCATTGATATGAATTTATCTTACCTGTTTTACCTCATCAAGGGCCTACCTCCCAATATAGTCACATTCTGAGGTACTAAGGGTTAGGTCTTCAACATGAATTTTGGGGGTGACACAACTTAGCCCATAACAGATACTGTAATAATTACTGAATCAGTCAGGGTCAGTTATAGTCAGCAAAATGGAAAGCACTTCAATTATTTGTGATGGAAACAATTTAAAGCAAGGGATTGATTTTATGGGTGATAGGAGAGTTGCAAACTTAAAGAAGACGGTGAGGCAATCCAAATATCAAAAAATAGGAACCCCCTTATAAGCCTAGAGTGAACAGACAAAAACAGGAAGTAGTTCTAACCTAGGCAATAATGCATCACCCCATGGAAGCTGGAACCACGTAGGCCTGCCTAGAGGGCCTGAAAACAAGGAAACCACAATGGAAACACACTTGCTACCATAGATTAGTATTCCAGACAGACAGAGAAGGGTGAGTACTCTTACCTGTTAGTCTCATTCTTCTGCTTGTACCTGCTAATGGCTAAACCTGGGCAGAAGTCAGTTGATGCAGGAGCCTAAGAATTATTTACAGCCTGGCTGGCTGGAGTCAGTCCTCCTGCATTGCAGTCGAAGCAGGAGGACAGGGAATGACTTTAGGGGCAAAGAAGCTCAAGACTGACACAAGTACTAAAAAAATGAGAATATTATAAAATGATTCAAAATGGCCCTTCAAATAAATGAAGGCAAATTTACATATTTATATTTATGGATAGTGACTGCTATATACATCTACTCACAACTGGCCAAACAAGACTTACTTTATTTTATCCTTCTAATTACTTTAAAAATATTTCTCCTCTTTTTTGCTGGAAGATCCATTCTCCCTCCTACCCCACAATCTGTGCATTTCTAATTCTAAACCTTGTTTAAAAGCTTACTTAAATTCTCCTTGAAGTTTTCCAAATTCTTCTTTCCTCCTGTTTCTCCTTAATCCCCATTACACTCTGTCTATATTGGTGTCAAGTCACTAACAACTTCCCATTTATATTAGTAGCTGTTTATATACACAATTATGTACTTTTCAAGGATAGGGTCTGGGTCTTTACCTATCACACAGTTTTCAATATGCAGCTTGTACGTTATTGAAAATCAGTTAGTATATCTAGTATACTTAAGAAAACTCTTATAATAGTGACATGATTCCCACTCATTATTTATAATCTTATTACCCCTCCTATCATTTTCCCATTATTTTTTGCCCTCCTGAATGACAAAGCTAAGAGAACACAAAGAGGTTTTTATTTGTTCTTTTTTTAAAGAAAGATGTACTTCATTTTATGGTTATATAGGTGAGAATCAATCCTTATCCTGGGATTCAAGGAAATATCCTCTTGTCTCATCTAAGCATTAAAAAGCATGTGAAATTTTGAATGAGTATCCTAAGATAATAGATCTCTTCTGTTTATATTTTTGCTTTTTTTGAGTGTCGATTTTTGTAGACTGGGAAATAAATATATTCCTTCCACTATTACTTATTGAATACTAACTATGGTCCAGGCATACTCTAGGCATTTGAAATATATCAGGAAACAAAGCAGACAAATTCTTCCTTGTATTCCAGTGGAAATAACAATGAACATTAAAGAATTTTAAGTTTTCTTGAAGTGATGTGTGATATGGGGTGAAAAATAAAATAGAATGAGTTATGTAAAATCACAAGTGCCAAGATGGAGGTAAGAAGCTGATTGTCATTTTAAATAGAGTTCTCACAGTCAGCCTCATTGTGAAGTGACATTTGAGCAGAGACTGAAAGGAGGTGATGAAGTTAGCCATGCAGGTGTGTGAGAAAAGAGCTTTTTAGGAATACAGAACAGAGTGTAAAGGCCCTAAAGCCAGAGAATGACCAAAGCAGATGTCCCAAACTTTTTAGATTCATGAAGCTCACAGTGTCTTTAAACCAAAATAAACAGTTTCATTCATTAAGTAGTTAGTCCCAATCAACATGAATTTTCTTCCCAAATACTTTAGTAGTCAGTTGAAAAACTAAAACACATATATTGTAAGAAAATGAATATTTTTATTTTATTTATAAATTACCACAATTATTTATGAATGGAACATGTATGCCTATTGAGAACTCAGTAGCTTCTCAAATCTTAAAGTTAGGTGAACATTAACATCATAATTTCTTATTCCTCACTAGTTTTGTGAGGTGTAAGACTTTTACCACAAAAACTACCCCAAATTCAACTTCACAAGGGTTTGACCTCATCGAAAAGAATAGAGCACAATCTACTGCTGAGCTGTGAGCTGTCTCAAGCTAGTAGTTCATATGGTGTCTGGCAGATGTCAGGTATTGCTTGTTTTTCCTTTAAAATTTTAAGATGTCTTTCAATACCTTTGTGAGTTTGTTCTGTCATTCTAGGGCATCTGTATTCCTCCATTTTCATGCTGATGATAAAGATGTACCCAAGACTGAGTAATTTATAAAGAGAAAGAGGTTTAATGGACTCACAGTGCCACGTGGCTGGGGAGGCCTCACAGTCATGGCAGAAGGTGAACGGCAAGTCTTACATGGTGGTAGGCAAGAGAGAGAGCTTGTGCAAGCAACCCCCCACCCCCCTTACAAAACCATCAGATCTTGTGAGACTTATTCACTACTACAAGAACAGTATGGGGAAACCACTCCCATGATTCAATTAACTTCCAGTGGGTCCCTCCCACAACACGTAGGAATTATGGGAGCTACAATTCAAGATGAGATTTGGGTGGGGAAATGGCCAAACCATGTCAGCACCTCAGTGGATAGTTTGGGAAAACAGGAACAGCAAGGTGGTGGGTAGCTGGAAAGGAGTGAACAAGGGGGAGAGAAGCAGCAGTCAGAAAGTGATGGGAGGAGGCAGAAGTTGTACCACCCTCAGACCATGGTAAGGACTTCAGCTTTAACTATAAGGGGAATGGGAAGTGTCTTAGTCCATTTGGATTGCAATAACAAAATACCATAGACTGGGTGGCTTATAGACAAGAGAAATTTATTACAGTTCTGGAGGCTGAAAAGTGGAAGATCAAGGCAACAGCCAATTAAATATGTGAGAGCCCACTTTCTGGTTCCTAACTGGTGCCTTCTCTCTGCGTCCTCACATGGTAGAAGGGATGAGGGGTCTTTTTCATAAGGGCACTATTCCCATCTATGTGGGCTCCACTCGTATGAACTAATCATCTCCCAAAGGTCCCACTTTCTGCTATCATCACCTTGGTAGTTAGGATTTCAACATATGAATTCTGGGGTGGACACAAACATTCAGACCATAGCAGGAAGCCACTGGAAAGTTTGAGCAGAAGAATGACATTATCTAATTTAAAAAGTATCACTTTGGCTGCTGTATTGAGAAAAAAAAACTATAAAGATGGGGTGAGGGCAAGGTTAGAAACACGGAGTCCTGGTAGGAGGCTTCTGAAGTAATCTAGATAAAGAATCATGGTGACTGAGACTAAGATGGAAACATTGAGATGGTGAAATGTGCTCAAATTTTAGATGTATTTTGAAGGCAGTCAGTAGGATATGTTGATGGATTAGAAATGAAACATAAGAAAAAGACAGGACTCAAGAATAATTCTGAAGTTTTTGGGCCAAAGAATATAAAGGAGAAAGTTGCTACCATCAGTGGAGGTAGGGTAGATTACAGGTGGAGCAGGTATAAAGAGCTCTATTCTAGACAGTTTCCACTTTAGACATCAGTTAGATCTGTAAGTGGAAATGCCAGCTAGCCAGCCTGGTAAACAAGTGCAGTGTTCAAAAGGGAGGCATGGGATAAAGATGTAGTTTGTGTTGGTGTGAGGTGTGTGGATGGCATTTAAAGCCAAGAAGCTAAATGAGATTCTCTAGTGAATAAGTATAACTAGAAGAGAGAAAGGTCCAGAGCAGTGAACTGGGACACATCAATATGAATGGGTTTGGGAAAAGAGGAGGAATTCGAATGTAGATTTAAAAAGTAGGGGAAAAAGCAAGACAGTGTGGTACTCTGGAGGCTCAGTGAAAAGCAGATCATCTATTTGTCTGATGCTGCAGAGAGGTCAATAAAGATATGTAAAATAATATGCAGTTGGTCAAACACTTCAGTAAACTCAGAAATGAAATTCTTTCATTTAACAAAATAACTTGTGTTATGTCTTCTAAGAATCAATGCAAAGTTACTACAAGCCTTTCCTATTCAAGGATGAGAAAATCAGAATTACAAATTATAAATTATCAGAAGTATTAATTCTGATTTTGTAATAGTGTCTGAGTTTACTACTAGTACATAGTGATACCCTGTGATAAATTTCTAAAAAATAATAATTTGTTAAAAAAGTTAATTAAAATTAATCATAATAATCTTGACATATAAAATTTGTTTTCAATGTTTTAAAAATTGGCAAGAGAAATACCTTTCAGGTCCAGCACTGCTTTTCCATAGTGACTTAATATGTATAAAATATTCGGAATATTTGCAGAACATCTGGTAAAAGCAGGCAGCTGTTTCCTTTTCAATATGTTTTAACTGACAATTTGAGAAAGCTGGAAAATAACAATTTTAATGTTCATTTAAAATTGACTTTGCAAAGAAGCAGTTTTATTCCTGTTTTCTCTAGTTGCTTGAGTTGGTTTCCTCACTTCAAAATAAAATTTTCTCAAATAAGATTGATAGAAAATCCATTAAATAATATTTTATTATTCTAAAACAAGACCTCAAATATCTCACATTCTAACTGAAACCTTTCATTGTCAGCAGCTTGCTTATTATTTATTCCCAAGACACTATTATTTGACCCCATTAGATTGTCATTAATGTGATTTCTGTAGGTTCTCACAATGTAATAAACCCCTTCTTGTCTCTCTCTTTCATTTATACCTCGAATCTCATGACTGATCATCTAAGCTATGCTTTCACTGGTGTATAAGTCTGGGTACAGTCAAGAAAGCAGAAGCCATACTAGATATTTAAAACACATGGAGTTTAATATAATGACATGTGATAGATGAGTTTAAAATACAAATAAGGGATGGTGCCACAGCTCAGGTTAGCAAAAATAGGAAGTCACCACCACCCCCAGGGCTGGATAGAAAGCATGAAAGAGTAGCATTCCTGTAGTCCAAAAGTCAAAGCTTACTGAACAGAAGTAAAACCATGGTGAGAGTTGCTTGGCAGAGCTGGTATTATGAGGGGAGGGTATGTGCAGAAAGAGCTGGAGAAGATACAGCTGCTTCTAGAAAGAACAATCAAAGCAGAACAAGAGAAAAAAATAGCCCTGGGGTATGTGCAACTGAGTACAGTCAGAAAAAAAGAGAACCCATACCAATTATTTTTAACAGAGGTAATTTAATATAGGCAATTGGACATAACAGGTATTGAAGTACTGAAATACTAAAGAGGGGACACTGAGGCAGTACAGAGATAGTAACTGAAGAAAGCAACCACTAGCCCCAGGGCCAGGGTAAGAAAAGAAAGAAGTTAGGAGTACTGGAAGATAGGGATTTGAAGACGGGTCATGCCGGGCTGAAATTCAGTCCTCTGAATGGGGGAGAAGATGGGTAATAGCTAGCTGCTGTTGTAACCTCAGGGGCCTAGGCAAAGGTCCCTGTGGGCTGGAACTCAGATCTTTGAGGAGGGGCTGCTTGCCAGCTTGTGCTGGATCCTTTATGAAGTGTGAAGATGAGACTGTTTCTGGAAGTGTCTAAAACAAAAATAATAAACAAAAAAACCTGGAACTTAGAATCAATGGCTACCTGAAGAAACTGCCACTTTTGGAATGAAAAATCATTGCTGTGGTCATGCTGTCACTAACAGAAAGCAAATAGGAAAGAACTCAGCTGCTCTCCCTTTTACTGCCTTACAGGATTCTCCTTGCACTCCCTATTTACAAAGCCTAACAGGAGTCTCTTGGCAAAGGAGAAATAGAGTTTGTGGAGTCAGAAGTTCAGCATAACAGGGCAGACTATAAAAGGGTGGGTTTGGGGCTAATAAATGATAACTTAATTACACAACCATTTGCTCCCCTATCACCATCTTCCACTAGTGCCTCCCTATTGACTAAATGTACCTAAAACCAGTGAGCTAGGGAACCTGGACAATGTAATTCCTCACAGAGCAAGGGAAGGCAAGAAGTGATCTAAGTACAATAGGCAAATGACTGACACACAAATACTCTTTGTTGTTTTGTACTGTCTACTACTCTGGATAAGCAAAACCCCAACACTATATCAAATATATAGCCCAACTTCTGTGCTATATACCCAGGGGTCAGCAAACTATGGTCAAGTTAAGCCCACCACTTTTCCTACAACCTGCACCCTGAGTGGCTTTTACATTTTTTAATAGTTGAAAAAATTCAAAAGAATAATATTTTATGGCACATGAAAATTATATGAAATTTAGCTTTCAGTGTCCATGGATAAAGTTTTATTAGAACACAGCCATGCTTATTCATTTACATGTTGTCTATGACAGCTTTTCCATCACAAAGGTAGAGTTGACAAGTTGCAACAGAGACCTTATGGACCACACAGCCTCTCTGGCTCACTAAAGAAACGGTTTACCCACTCATACTTACTTACTTACTTACTTTATTTATTTAAAACAAGATTTCACTCTGTGGCCTAGGCTGGAGTGCACTAGCACGATCATAGCTCACTGCGGCCTCAACCTCCAGAGCTCAATTGATCTTCCCACTTCAGTCTCTCAAGTAGCTGGGAATACAGGTGTGCATCACAACACCTGGCTAATTTTTTATATTTTTTGTAGAGATGGGATTTCGCCATGTTGCCTAGGATAGTCTCAAATTCCTGAGCTTAAGTGATCCTTCCACCTTGGCTTCCTAAAGTTGGCTGCCTACTCATTATTCATACCCAGGAAGCTTAGTCCTGCTGATAGAAATACAGCCATGTTGATTAGTATTTTATTTCAAGGCCATTTGTTACTCTTTCACTTGAACTTGGTCAATTACCTTCTTCCCTTTCCTTCAAACATCTGTTACAGGTCTTCATCACTTTCCTCAAGTCTCTCAACACCCACGCCTTTACTCTAAGTCATAGACAATGTTCCATCACTTCATTGACAAAATTGGGATACAAAGAAACTTATCCTTTTCTTTCTGCTCCAGAGATACAAACACATACATCTAAAACTCTACCTTTTATCCCCTCTTAAGTCTCAGAGAATGTTGCATCTCTCCTTCATTTTAAGGGTGGCCATCTCACCTGTGCTCATGGCCTCATTCCGTCTCACCTGCTCTTTCACCATCTTCTACTCTCATCTCTTCATTGTCTGTTTCCCTTCTAGAAACATTACAGAGTAGTGACCAGGAATAAAACCTTAAGTTTGGCTGGCTAAGCTCAGATTCTACCTCCACTGCTTACTAACTCTCTAATCATTAGCAGTTTATCTTAATCTCTATTAACTTCAGTCCCTTCCTCTGTAGAAATAATTATGTGTCAAATTGCCATAAGCATTAAATAAAACAATGCATATAAACATCTAGTGCAGTGCCCCACATATAATGTGTTTAAAATATTTTAGTTATTTTAAAATATCACTAAATTTTTACTATCATCACCTCTAAAAGGGCTGAAGTCTCCCTCCACCTAAAAACTTTAAAAAGCTCCCTTAATCCTGTGCCACCCTTTTGTTATCACTTTCTTCAACCTCTTTTTTCATTCAAACTCTCCCTTCCCATCAAAGTAGTCTATTCTTCTTGTTTCAAGATTTCACTCTTCTTTCATTCACTCTTTAATGCATTGAAATTTAGTTTCTACTTTTAACTAGTCTTCTGAAAATACTCTTACAAATGTCATTTATGATATCCCAATTCCCAAATCAACTCATAGTTTTCAGTCTTCATATTATCTAATTTCTCTGTGACATTCAATCTTGTTAATCACTCACTCTTCTAAACTTTCCAACCCCTGGCTTCCAAAACACTAGTCTTTGGATTTCTCAACTGTAATTTTTTCTCTCCTGGGCATTTCTTCATCTGTCCGTGCTTTAGTTCCCATTCTGTTCCCACTGTTCATGTTGTATCATGTATTTCCTGGGCAGTTTTCTTCAGCTCCTATTAATATATATGTGCTTATAATATAGTAAGCATATGCTTTATTAATGCATTAATACATGTATGCTTATAATACTATAACTGCAACCCAGATCTTTTCCAAGCCCAAGCATACCATGTACCATGTACCATGGCTAACTGCCCATGGTACATTCATATCAATATGACCTACTTTTAAATTCAGTGTGTCCAAAAAGCTCATATTTTTCTTAATTTGCTTCCTCTACTTTTTGATGAAATCATTGGCATATAATCAGTCCAGAAGGCTGTGAGTCATTCTTGATCTTTCCCTTTTCTATATAAGCCAAATTCACTTAATCTCCATGTTCATCCAATTTTCACTCTTAAACATCTCATTCTATTTTCTAGTGTGAGTTTTCACACTGAAACTCTCCTCTGCCCTGGTTTCACCCTCACCATCTCCAAACCACACTGCAATAATAGCCTGTAACTGCAGGCCCCTTTACCAGTAGTCTCGTCTGTCTCAAATCTGAATTCCACACAACAGCCAGCTCTATGTCTATTTTGACAATGCTATCCTTCTGTTTAACCCTTCAAAGGCTCCTCATTGACTGCACATTACACTCTGAGCTTCTTCAGACGCCATATACCATCCTCTATGTCGGGGGAACTATCTTCCTCTCTAGTCTCATTTCCTGCTGCTCTAAAGTAATATTTTATATCTTTTCAACAGTGTACTCTGCATTCAGAAATATGAATTATGCAGCTCTTTCTCCTCTCTGGGCTTTGCTCATGCTGTCTCCTTAGCCTGTAACATTCTTCCTCCATCTTTCCTCCAGCCCTCGACCTAACCAAATGTTTCATCATTTAGCATTAACCCTGGTGCCACTCCTCACAGTAGGTCTCCCAGTCTGGGTTACACTCCATTCTTCACTTTTTCCTTACATTTTCACCAATGTTCTTTCCGTTGTATTATAATTATCTAGCATGGTGTCTGAAAAAGAGTTCGCACTTTAGGATAGAATTATCCAAGAGTTTATTCAATATTTAATAGTTAAGTATTACTTACAAGGTAAAATGATACATTCTTGTGTTTGCAAGAAGTAACATGTAAATCTGCCTTTCAAGGGCATGTGGTCAAGTAGGAGCTGGGTGGCAGAGAGTTAACTAGTTTTACGAACCAGTGCAAGGTAGAAATTCGTAAGTGCGGAATAGCAGTGAGGATAAAGTATTCAAAGAGTTCATGTGATATAAGGATTATTCCCATAATGAATATTTGCCAGATATTCAAAGCACTAGCCTAAATATTTTGACATTCTATCAATTTGATACAAGAGTTATGATTTTTAATTATATTGCATTTAAAACTTCAGTGCAAGTACAGCTCATGTTGCACTATCCCATACCCAGTATTTGACGAGTTGTATCTCTGACTGAATTTCTTTGCCTTTCCAAGTTTCCTCCTCCTCCAAAATGCCTTGCCCAGCAATTGCTTACAAATGCTTTTAAAAAATATTTACATTTGCATATTTCTCCAAGAATATTAAAGCAATGAGAAAGGGAAAACCTATAAATGCCACTTTCAACAAGAAAGTGGGGAAGTGACAGAGTGAGAAAGACAAGGATGAGTGGCAGTAGAAAATGTGCCCAAATGAATAAGAAGTTAACAACTGTAATATCGCTCCATGAAATACATAATGTGGGCATGATATCTCCATTTTATGGAAAAGAAAATTGAGAGTCAGAGTTGTTAAATAACTTACCTCAGTTCATGCATCCAGTGTCTTCAGGGCTGAATCTAGGTTTCAAATCTTCACAAAGCAGAAAATATGAAGAGAAAGAAGAAAATATGCCAAAAGATTCATCACCAGCTCTATTCTTGGAAAATCACTCTTATGCAAAATGTTGAGGAAGTTTATAATTGTGTTTAAAATAATTAACTTTATATTTTATATGTGTGTGCATATAAAATCAGAAACTGAAAATATAAAGACTATGCTAATTTAGTTATGTCTTGGTAATTATTCTGAGACTGATATTCAACCATTCTTCACGCACACATACATAATCTCCCACACTCCCTCACCCCAATCTCTGCCCAGTCCACCTTTTCCATTGAACATAAGTCACACTAACCTGAGCAAATGTCCTCCACCTCAGGCAGTCTGGACCACTTGTTTTTTATGGAAAATATGATAATTTCTTATCTCTATGCCTTTGTTCCTGTCATTCTTTTGGCTGGAAATTCTGTTTCATGCACAGTCCACACTTTGGACTTTCAATATGCTTTCCATTTTTCAAGTCTAAATTCTATAGAAGGATGTAGAAGGAGTTTACTGATCTCTAACTGGAAATATTTCCATTTTCCTCTATGCCTGGCTATCAAAACAGCTGCTAACATCTGAATATTGTGCTTTCAAAATCACCACTCTGTTTCAGGCCCACACACTATCTTTGAAATAGGTATTATATGCTCCACTTTATCTTGAAGAAGTTAGGGGCAAACTGTTTGGGCTGTTTGGGCAGTTGGCCACACAGACCCTCTTTGGATACAGAAAAGAGATGTGCCTATCACAGGCCACATATTCTAAGGCTCCAGTCCAGTCCTCAGCTGGCAGTGACCCTCCCTGAGGATGAGGATTCCAGCTGGCTAAGAGGAGCCTGTGTCCCCTCCCTTTCTGTCCCAGGGACTCTGGAATTCCTTGCATGCATGGAGCTGAGCCCATTCTTAAGGTCTGCTCAGGCCTTCTTCCTTGGCTTTATCTTCTTCAGGGCAGACAGGACAGACACTATGTGCACCCAGAAGTCAAGTACGACCAAAGGACACCTGTTTTCAAGGAAGGTGGACTGAACTTGGACCTCAGCCAGGAGTCCAAACCTGTGACTTGAGACCTCTCACATTTTGGATGAGAACTAGGAATGAGAAGATACAGGGCTGTGGGTTGGGGCAAGACAAAGTCAATTTTCCCCCAGTCCTCCAAGCTGTTGGAGGGAAATTTGAGCACCTGAGAAGTTTAATTTTTAGCTCAACCTTCCAGGTTATTCTGATGTGTATTTGTCAAGGGGGAATGGAGTAGGTTACATTTGATTTGACAGTTTGTTAATTTGATTTATAATTTTAAATATTTAGTTATAAAGTATGGACCAAGATATTTGGTCAATTCAGGAATTGTTTGCCCATCTATTGACTGATCATGGTTGGGGCATGGAGGTCTGACCATGTCAGTTCTTGGTGAGACAATTTTCATGTTCTATATACATTCCAGACCTCTGTGCTGTTGGCCAAGGTTTGATTGGCCTGAGCTGTAGTTCAACTTCTCCCTCTGCCCAATTCTGGTTCTTCCTCGTTCTTTCCAGCTATGTTAGGTCCTGGTAAATATCTTATACAACAAACACTGTCCCAGTGTCTATTTCCAGAGAATCTTGCTTGTAACACCTAGCAAGTCTGAAGTACACTCAATAAATATTTCTTTTTTTTTTTTTTTTTTTTTTTTTTTTTTTTTTTTGAGACGGAGTCTCGCTCTGTCGCCCAGGCCGGACTGCGGACTGCAGTGGCGCAATCTCAGCTCACTGCAAGCTCCGCTTCCCGGGTTCACGCCATTCTCCTGCCTCAGCCTCCCGAGTAGCTGGGACTACAGGCGCCCGCCACCGCGCCCGGCTAATTTTTTGTATTTTTAGTAGAGACGGGGTTTCACCTTGTTAGCCAGGATGGTCTCGATCTCCTGACCTCATGATCCACCCGCCTCGGCCTCCCAAAGTGCTGGGATTACAGGCGTGAGCCACCGCGCCCGGCCAAATATTTCTTGAATATATGGTAAACACATAGTAATAATAATAGAGAGCCAACATGTAAAATGCTTACTATGTGCCTGTTACTATTCTAAGTAATGATACATATTAATTCTAACAATATTATTGAGGCATGTATTATTATTAACCCCATTTGATAGCTTAGGAAAATAAGGGCCAGAGAGGTCACATAATTTGTTTAGGGTCACATAGTTGGTAAGTAGTGGCTCTTACATTAGGACACAGGCAATCTGATTCCAGACTTGGCATTATTAATTACCATACTAAAATGCTTCTCTGAAGATAGTAACAAATGTTCACTGATGACTGAATAACAATATACTTCTGTGGTATAAGTAGTCAGTTAACATGCTATTGATTATGCTTGGGATATCAAAAAATATAAATGCTAGTAAACGCATTTTATTCTTTAGAACAAAGTTGAGAAAAGTAAATGAGAGAAATTTTTTAATTGACCTATTAGAGGATATTTATTTTTGACCTTTTCTCTCATATTTGGTTGAATACTCATGATTATTTTCCCGTTCCTGTCTAATCTTTCTATTATGATAGGAGTCAGTCCTTGGGGCAAGTTCTATTTTTTGGAAATCTTTTGGAAAAGACTATGTCTTGGCCTGTAGCCCACCATTCTTAGTGACAGACTGGGCTGGATAACTCTCCTCTGTTGGTCTTGCTTCTCCTAAGCCAAAGCCTGACACTGACCTGCATTGAAAGGATATATAGTAAGGTGGTCTTAGACATGGTCCATTAGCCAACCTCGAGTCAGTACAGTCATGAATTTTGTTTCCATTTTCCCAGTGTGGGCTGTTGTCACAGGTCTTGTTTAGTGGCTTTCTTGCTGCATTCCCCACTTCTTCAGTCACCTGGCTCCTGTCTTGTCACCAATTCTTATAGGAATTGTATTTCCTGGTCAGAAAATATGGCTACCACTTTCTATTTTTATCTGACTGCTGCTGTCTGCTCAGGTGATCCCATAAATGAGAACCTCTAACTAAGTCAACACAAGCTGCCTACCCTACTTGGTGTATATTCTACCTAGTTTTTACTGTATTTTGAAATTTTTGCTAAAGATACTTGGCCAACTATTTTTTGCCCCTCTACGTACTGATGTCCTGGTTCCTCTTGCCCCTTTTTAATTTCATCTGTATCTGCTACTAGAACGACTGATCCAAGTCTTGCTTCTTTGTTCATACCCTTGTTTGTTAACTGATTCTATAGTTCATTGGAAGAAATTCATTCTGGCTGTGTTTTATCTGAATCAATTCCTCATTGATTGGTCTCATATTGATCTTACAGTCACTAAAAATGTAAAGTGGGTGAACAAGTAATTACAAATTAAATTCATGCAGAAAATTTATCCAAGGAAAGATAACTTCCATTTTGTACAATCTGTATTATTTTATTTTAGATATGCACTATTTAAGTGATTGTCCCACTGTTGCACTGACTTTACAAAAATATCTTCAGAGAGCAGAGAAGTAATTTTACTCCATTTTTCTCAAATATTAGTAGTAAATCATTTATTGAGTAGGTAATCATTTACTTGACAAATATTTATTGAGAGGCCACTATGTGCCAGACCCTAGGCAATGTAGCATTTTTGGCATCTTAAATTCCTTACTTTTCATATACCTGTACTTTTTAGATGAAATTCATGATTGCTGTATAAAGATGCTGGGGATGGACATTTATTTTTTCTCATCACAGAAATGAACTAGCTGAGGCTTAGAGAAGTTTTCGTGACTTGACCAAGTTTATTCTGCTTAATGGCACTGAGGATAAGACTTCTGATACCCTTGCTGGTCTTTTTTTCACTAAGAATATTAAAGATTAGACATTAAGAGATTAAAGCCCATAGGGAAAGACAAATTAGCCTTATATGTCACTTGGAATTACCTCATTAAACAAGTCTGATAGAAAATAATACTTCCACAGAATGAGTAAATGTTTGGAGTTCTGTCAAGAGATATTCTAATTAATTTTTTTCTGAAAATGTGATGGACCCTTTTGAAAATTCCTCAATTTTATCAAAACTAGTGGAAGTTCTGCCATTCTACTCACTTAGATGGTCATTTTTCTATAATGCTTTTCTTGAGGTACATTGATAAGAAATAAATATAAGCCATGTTCACATAGAGAGACATACAGCTGGGAAAATCTAGCCCACTGGTATTTCTGGGATACTTACTTGCGTGATATGGTAAATACAGTCAATGCATGGAGAGACACAATGTAAACTGTTACTTTGAAATGCTTGCTTTTGGCACAACTTCATCACAGGCGTTTTACAATTTACAAGGCAGTATGGAGTAATGTTGACAACTTCTGTGTTTACAAATTCACTGGTTCCTCTTTACTCCAGGCAGGATTTTTGGTTTTGGCACCTTTTCAGATGTTTGTCATTTCTTCCCAATGTGTTTGCATCTGATATTACTCTTTACTTTATTAGAATAGCTATTATTTTATCCCAAGTTGAATGGGCCTCAGTGAGCCTATTTGACTTCCAAAAGGAAATATTTGTTATCTGGCTGGATCTGATGCTAGGTCCTTTGCAAAATGCCTGGCTTCATTACATTTAATACATCAAAACAGCGATTTTCTTTTAATAATGACTGAAGAACATGAAAGCTTGAACAATGATATCCAATAATTATCTTCACCTTTTTCAATGTAAAGTACTGAAAGCCTTTGAAAACAGCTACTTGGTCATCTTTAAGAAAGTAAGACTTAATTAAAAGGATCTAAAGCTGTTATCAGTACAGTGTTAAGAAGTACCTTTTTGTAGCATTTTTTAAGATTCCTTATTCGGGAGGCTGAGGCAGGAGAATGGCATGAACCCGGGAGGCAGAGCTTGCAGTGAGCCGAGATTGCGCCAATGCACTCCAGCCTGGGCCACAGAGCGAGACTCGGTCTCAAAAAAAAAAAAAAAAAAAGATTCCTGAGATAAATATCTTTAGGATGGTTAAGATGTTGCCACACCTATGAACTGAGAGAAGTATTCAATAATTAGATAAAGATAAGAATAAAAATATTGGCCTGACTAATATCTAACATTTACTGTGGGCTTACTTCATGTCAGACAGTATTCTAAGATCTTCATGTGGGTTAGCTCATTTAATCCTCCAAAAAATTTTATAAGAGTTTTGTTATCCCCACTTTAAAGACATGAAAACTGAAAAACATAAAGATCAAGGAATTTGCCTAAGGATGCACAGTTAATAAGTGGTAAAGCTTGGAGTCTAACATGGGATTTTGTGCTACTTAAGTGTCGACTATGGATTATTTATTGTGCTATGGTTATGGGTTATTGTCTTTAAAGGTTTATATATCCCATTAGAGAAAAAGCAGAAAACAACGTTTAGCAATGTACATTGTATAGAAGCCACTATGGTTTCTAGATAAATGGAGAGATACACTACATTTGTGGATTAGATAATTTAATATTGTTATTTTGCCTAAATAACTAGGCAATTTTGAAGGAATAGACAAGCTAATTCTAGAATTTATATGAAGATGCCAAGTATATAGAATAGCCAGTTTTAAAAATTAACAAGGAAGACTTACATTACCTGATTTCAAGATTTTATATAAAACTAGAAGAAAGAATATAGTGTGATTTTGGAATGCAGACACATAGAATAAAGGGCTTATAATAGATACACATATATAGGATTGATCAATTTTTGGAAAAAATGCTATGAAATTTCAATTGGGAAAGGCAGGTCTTTTTAACAAATGCTGATGGAACAATTGAACATCTGTATAGAAAACCCCTATGTTATTCTTACACACCCAAGAAATGGAAATGGCTCACAGACTTAAATGGAAAATACAGAATCATAAAGCTTCTAGAAGAAAACATAAGGTAATGTACTTACAACCTCAGTGTAGGCAAAAATTTCCTGGAGAAGATAAAAAGAACACAGACCATGAGGGAAAAATATTGTTAATTTGAATGTCATCACAATTAAAATTTTCTACTCATCAAAACTTACAAGCCAAAAACTAATATGAAAGGTCTTACATTTAGAACATATGAAGAACTTCTCCAAAGAGTCAATAAAATAAGCTAATTAAAAGACAAACAGAATATGCTTCACAAAGAAGACATAAAAAGAGCCAAAAAGTATGTGAAAAGGTTCTTCAGCGCATGAAAAGTGCCTTAGTCCTTAAGGAAATGTAAAGTCACAATGAGTTACCACTTCACATCCACTAAATGCCAACACCAGATGTTACAGGTGTGGGTCAATTTTCATACATTGATGGTGAGAAGGTACAACACATCTGTCCCATGTATCACAACTCTACTTTTAGGTATTGAAGAGATAAAGAAAAGACTTGTACAAGAATATTCTTATTATAAAGTCTAAAATCTTTTTGTGTGTATGAACAAAGAGGTTCTTTACTTTTTAATTAAATAATAAAAATTGTTTACATTTATGGTGTCAACATGATGTTTCAATATATGTATACATTGTGGAATGGCTAAATAAAACTGATTACCATATGCTTTACCTCACATGCTTATCATTCTTTTGTGGTAAGAACACTTAAAATCTACTCTGCTAGCACTTTTCAAATACACAATATATTGTTATTAACTATAGTCATTACGGTATTTCTTATATGGATATTATAATAAATTTATTACCTCTGTCTAACTGAAATTTTGTATCCTTTGACCAACAGTTCTCTAATTCTTTCAATCTTTTACCTCCTATCTCTAATAACCTCAATTTTACTCTCCACTTCTATGAGTTCAACTTTTTTAGATTCCTTTTACAAGTGAGGTTATGTGGCATTTGTCTTTTTGTTCCTGGCTTATTTCACTTGGTATAATGTCTTCCAGGTTCATCCATGTTGTTGCAAATGACAAGATTTCTTTCTTTTTAAAGGCTAAGAAGTATCCCACTGTGTATATATACCACATTTCTTTATCCATTAGTTAATCAATGGACACATGTTGATTTCATATCTTTGCTTTTGGGAATAATGCTACAATAAACGTAAGAGTGCAGCTGTATCTCCAACAAGCTGATTTAATGTCCTTTGTATATCTATCCAGCAGTAGGATTTCTGGATCATACGATAGTTAATTTCAGTTTTTTGAGGAACGTCCATACTGTTTTTCATAACAGCTGTACTATTTTACATTTCCATCACCAGTGGCTAGGGTCCTCTTTTCTCCACAGTCTCACTAACACTTGTTACCTTTTTGTCTTTTTTTCCAGTAGTCATTCTAACAAATGTGAAGTAATATCTTATTTTGGTTTTAGTTTGCATTTCTCTGGTGATTATTGTTGAACATTTTTCCATGTACCATTTGGCAATTTTTATGTCTTCTTTTGAGAAATGCCTATTTACCTCTTGCCCATTTTAAAATCTGCTTGTTTTCTTGCTATTGAATTGTTTGAGTTCTTAATACATTTTGGATATTAACTTATCAGAGGTATGGTTTACACATATTTTTCTCCCATTTCATAGGTTATCTCTTCACTCTGCTTGTTGTTTTGCTAAGCAGAAGCTTTTTAGTTTGATGCAATCTCATTTGTCTATTTTTATTTTTGTTGCCTGTGTTTTTGGGATTATATCCAAGAAATCATTGCCCAGACCAATATCAAGAAGCCCTTTCCTTTATAGTATGAGATAAGGGCCCAATTTCATTCTTTTGCATGTGAATATCCAGTTTCACTGACACCATTTATTGAGACTGTCTTTTCCCTCTTGTGTGTTCTTGGCATCTTTGTCAAAGGTGAGTCAGTTGCCTGTAAATGCATTACTTTGCTTCTGAGCTACCTGTTCTGTTTCATTGGTCTACATGTCTGCTTTCATGCCAGTAAAATTTTGTTTTGATTACTATAGCTTTGTAGCAAACCTTAGAATCAGGAAGTGTGAAGAGTTCAGCTTCGCTCTTTTGCTCAAGGTTGTTCTGGTTATTGGGTATCTTTTGTGGTTCCATGTGAATTTTAGGATTATGTTTTTCTATTTTTGTGAAAATGTTATTGGAATTTTGGTGGTAATTGTATAGAATGTGTAAGCTTGCTTGGGTGGTATGGACATTTTAACATTTTAAAATAGGCATTTAATTTTAATAGTGATATTTCCAATCTATGAACATGGAATATTTTTAAATTTATTTGTGTTTTCTTCCATTTCTCTCATTAATGTTTTATAGTTTTTAGTGTACAGATTTTTTTCAACCTCCTTGGTTAAATGTGTTCCTAATTTTTATATTTTACTTATATGTAGCTATTGTAAATGGGATTGTTTTCCAGATTTTTTCAGATAATTTGTTATTAGTGTATAGAAATGCTACTGATTTTTGTATGTTGATTCTGTATAGTGATACTTTCCTAAGTTACCTCATTAGTTATAAGTCTTTTATTTTTAATTATTTTATTTTATTTATTTTCTTATTTTTACTTTTTTTTATTTGTATAGAAATGGTTTTCTGTTCCTGTGCTAGTTCACTTAGGATAATGGCCCCCAGCTCTGCCCATATTGCTGCAAAGGACATAATCTCATTCTTTTTTATGGCTGCATAGTATTCCACGATGAATATGTACCACATTTCCTTTAACCAGTCTACCACTGATGGACATTTAGGTTGATTCCATGTCTTTGCTATTGTAAGTAGTTAATAGTAGTTTCTTATGATTCTTTGTATTTATGTGGTATCAATTGTAATGTCTCTTCCTTCATTAATGATTTTATTTATTTAAGTGTTCGCTCTTTTTTTTCTTAGTTGGTCTATCTAAAGTTTTCTCAATTTTGTTTATTTTTTCAAAAACGTACACTTGGTTTCTTTGATGTTTTGTGTTGCTTTTCTAGCCTCTATTTTATTTATTTCTGCTCTGAAAGTTAGTATTTTCTTCCTTTTGCTAAATTTGGGCTTAGTTTGTTCTTTTTCTCATTATCCGAGGTGTAAAGTTAGGTTGTTTGAGATTTTTCTTCTTTCTTAATGTAGGAATGTAGGTATTTATCACTGTATCTTCCCCCTTAGAGTTGCTTTTGTTACAGTTCATAATTTTGGTATATTGTGTTTTCATTTTTCTTTTTATAAATATGCTTTTTGATTTCTCTTTTGATTTCTTCTTTGACCCATTGATTGTGTGGATATAGGTTGTTTAATTTTCCCTTATTTTTGAATTTTCCAATTTTCTTCATGTTATTGATTTCTAGTTTGTTACCAATGTGGTCTAAAAATATGCCTGATGTGATTTCAATCTCCTGGAGAATATGCCACTTTCATTTGAAAAGATTGTGTGTTTTTGCTGCTGTTATATGAAATGTTCTATATAAGTCTGTTGGGTACATTTGGCGTATAGTGTTGTTCAAGTCCACTATTTCTTTACTGATTTTATGTCTGGATGATCTATCCATTATTGCAAGTGGGACATTGGAGTTCCCTACTATTAGTATAATATAGCTGCCTATTTCTTCCTTCAGTTCTGTTAATATTTGCTTTATATATTTAGTTGCTTTAATTTTGGGTGTTACACATTTTTCATACCAATAGTCATAGCCATTAACCAAATATGGTCATTGTGTCCTTAAAATGGGGTTAATGTGGTTAAGAAACTGAATTTTTAGTTTTATTTCATTTTAGTTATTTTAAATTTAAATAGTCATTGCTAGTGGCTATCTATTGGACAGCACAACTCTGTATAGTTAACAACAGATTTACTCAGCCTCTGTTTTCTATATACATTGTAGTTACAGGCTAGTTGCATACAAAAGTAACCTGTACATTTCTTCTGACCTCAACTACTGGTGGCCTCATGGCTTCATGCACCTTCTAGGTTGTGGCATGTGCCGCAAAACAGTTGGATAGAACCCTAAGTGAACATCTGGTTTAGCCTCGACAAATGCTTTCCTCACTACCACCCAATACCAGAAAGAGTTAATTGTTCCTGGCTGTTGGTCTTCCAATTTAAGCTATTTGATCTTTGCATGCTCGGTATGTCTCCCTTAAAAGAGAGTTGCTTGCTATATTGCATGTTGAAAATATTGAAAGGTGAGAGATGGTTATTCTTGATCACTCTTTAGATTTAACCACAATGTTGCTGCAAATGCATCTCGCAAACTACTAGGTGAAATCATGGAAAATTCTGGAAGAAAAGGAGAGAGGTGTAAGTCATTCTGCCTTATTTTATGCATCTAATAATGACAGTAATTATTTTGTAAACACAAAATTTAGAGGAAAAAATGCTAACCTGGATGGATGCCTAGTTAATAGATATAATCTGGGACTGTCTCAGGAAAATTGAGACATATGGTCACCTAATGGATAAGCCATTATCTTGCTTCAAACAAAATTTCAACCATAGAGAAGAATAAATAAAAGCATAAGGAATTTATAATTGGAATCAAAACTCTAAAAAATTCAAAAAGCATAAAAGAGGTGAGATTCACTTAATATTGTGTTTTGGGGAGAAATGTACTATTAAATTATCATCTGTTCTCTCAAAACCAAGTGAAGAATTAAATGCATGTGAAATTCACAGTAGAAAATAGTTTATTTCTTGTAAAACGACAGTTTCTGCTAAAAGTACAGCCAAGTCTATTTAATATGTGATTAAAGGCAAATTTTTTTTGAAGTTTTTGCACATTGGGGTGAAAGAGAAAGGACTGGAAGTATTTCTATCATGAATTAATGGTTTACTCCTGAAAAGCATTCAATTTCTAAATTAAATATTTTGAAAAATAAGAAACTGTTGTAAGCATAAGTTTTTAATAAGATCAGTGTATCCTCTGTTTATTTGATAGTAAGTAAGGAAACAAGCAACTAATCCTGTAATAAACTAATAGCAGTTACATAAAAATATCAATTAAATTGATATTTGGGGGAATCTACTAATTTTTATTACACATCTCAGTCCAACTTACAGAGTTATAAAATCCACTGTTAGCCAATATATCTGTGTAAATTTGTCTGCCTAGAGTGAAGGATCTGGCTTATAATGGTACCACCAAATCCACAGAAAACTTAACGAAATTAAAGACAAAATTAAGAACAAAAGTGAATGAATATTATATGTACTTGATGATATGGTTTGGCTGTGCCCCCATCCAAATTTCATCCTGAATTGTAGTTCCCATAATCCCCACGTGTCATGGGAGAGACCCGGTGGAGATAATAGAATCATGGGGGCGGTGCCCCCATCCTTTTCTTGTGATAGTGAGTTCTCATGAGATCCGATGATTTTATAAGGGGTAAGCTTACCACTTTGCTGGGCACTCATTTCTCTCTCCCGCCCTGTGAAGAGGTACTTTTTGCCATGATTGTAATTTTCCGGAGGCCTCCCCAGTCATGCAAAACTGTGAGTCAATTAAACCTCTCTTCTTTATAAATTGCCCAGTCTCAAGTGTTTCTTCATAGCAGCATGAGAACAGACTAATACACTTGGTCATTTACATATTTTGGATTTAGTAGTGTTGAAGGTTTCTAAGGAAGCGAAAGAAGTTAGGAATGCTGTCACTATTGTGTAAGTGATTAGTCATATATTTCTGAATAAACTGGCCATTTTATGAAGTATGTAAATAGAGCAAAGCCAATAAATGCAGAAACCTTCACTCATCCAAAATATGTTGTACCTATTATGCACTTACTGGTGGAGAGGGAGGGAGTCCCAGAGATTATCAAAAACATGAACAATTACGTTGAAAACTCCTCATTCAAGTGGCCAAGGAATCAAGTGTTCTGTGGATATTAATATCCAAATTTAAATTTATCTTAGTTTAAAAATTATATTTGAAGTAAATAATATGCTTTTCTTTTATGTTCAAAAGTTTCTTGTTTGACATCTGAAAGAATGACAAATTCAGAACTATTTTTCCTTATGTAAAGAAAAAAATCTAAAATAAACATAGACTAAGGAGTAATTTAGAATCTATTTTATTAGTATACAAATTTATATTTTAAATTTGTTGAACTAATTTAAAGTATAGAAAATAATTTTAAAGAATAATGCATTTTGGAACTATCATTTAATTGGAGGGAAAAAGCTGCAAATGACTTTTGGGTAAGTGTATGCAAGAATTTTATAGACTTAATATGACTATGGTCCCCAAAACTTACTTTTATCATACCTCTGTCTATCTTAAATGCATCAAAGCCATTTAATCATCTTGGTACTTTGTTAATGCTACAAGGTTTTCAAAGTCATATTCCTTTTATTATTAAATTACTACATATTGCTGAGATTTGGCCAATGGTTCACTTCACAAGGGTCCTAGCCCTGCCTCATTGTACATTATTATATTTATTAAATACGTATTATGAAGTATGGCACCAAAATTAAGGTTTCTTTTACTCTTAGGCTCTAAAATATTAATATCTGTTCTTTTAGTTTGAGACTTGAAACTGATTATATATTTAATTTCAAAACCTACTCTTTCAAAAAAAGATTTATATTTTTCATTTTTACCCATTGATTGTGAAAAGAAATAGGATTACCCCACATCATTGAAAAAATAACTACAAGTCTATCTTTCCTGAAAAAAGTATAAATTATTTTGATATATAATTAATGCTTTTTACATTTCTAACTAAAGTTAGCATCTCTCATTTCTGTTGTTTCATAGGTAGATAGATTGATGTATTAGGGTTCTTAGAGAGAGACAGAACTAATAGAATATATATATATATATATGAAGGGGAGCTTATTAAGTATTAACTCACACAATCACAAGGTCCCACAATAGGCCATCTGCAATCTGAGGAGAAAGGAGAACCAGTCTAAGCCCCAAAACTGGAGAACTTGGAGTCCGATGTTTGAGGGTAGGAAGCATCCAGCACGGGAGAAATATGTAGTCTGGGAGGCTAGCCCAGTCTAGTCTTTTCACATTTTTCTCCCTGCTTTATATTCTAGCCACACTGGCAGCTGATTAGATGGTGCCCACCCAGGTTATGGGGGCAGGGGCCTTCCTTTCCCAGCCCATTGACTCAAATGTTAATCTCCTCTGGCAACACCCTCACAGACACACCCAGGAGCAATACTTTGCATCCTTCAATCTAATTAAGTTGACACTCAGTATTAACCATCACAATTGATAATAGATGGTAGATGAATAGAGAGACAGATGACATATAGGCAAACAGAGAGACAAACATAGATTTGTGTCTTGTTTTTCTTATATCTTTACCAACCTCCCATTCCCCTTTACCCAAATTATCATACATCTCATGGTATGGACGGTGGTCACTCTTAAAACATTGCATGAAATGATAAACTGACTATTTTATAGAGAAAGTTGTCTTGCAATCTCCTGGATTAACATATTTTTACTACGAGATTCCCCGAAATGTTTTATATCCCAGTACCTACTAGAGTGCTTGTTGATAGTAAGACATATAATATTTGTGAAACAAAAAAAAGTGCTACTTAAATGCAAGATTCTTATTGGACATTGCCCTTGTAAGACTGCTGTCACTGCTCTCATTCTTAACATGTTCTTTTTTTTTTGGACAGGGTCTAGCTCTGTTGCCCATGCTGGAGTACACTGGTACAGTCATAGCTCACTGCAGCTTTGACTTCCTGGAGACTCAAGGGATCCTCCCACTTCAACCTCCTGTGTAGTGGGACTAAATGCGTGTACCAGCACACCCATCTAATTTTTTAAAAAATGTTTTTGTAGAGATAAGATCTTGCTTATGTTGCCCAGGCTGGTCTCGAACTTCTGGCCTCAAGGAATCCTGGCACTTGGCCTCCCAAAGTGCTGGGATTACAGACATGAGCCACTGTGCCCAGCTTAACTTAGTATAGCTTTTATAAGTTTATTCTCCGACATTTCACTTTCAGTTTTCTGGATAAACTTATTTTGTCATCAAGTAGCAATTTTGGTAACATTAGTTTGGACAATAGAGGGAAATTTCATGCATATCTTGTCTTATCCAAATGTTCAGATACCTGTTTTTGAAACTTCAGGTAATTCTATTAAGGTAGAGTCTAGGTAGGTATCCATATTATATTCTTGTTTAAAGGAGGGTTATTCTCTATATACTGAATGATAAGATTCTTTGATTTAAAAAAAAAATCAAAAGATATATTTGATAGCCCTAGGACCTAAATGGGTTGCCAGGTTCATAACTTAGAAGAATTTGCTCTTTATAACTTAGCTCAAGAAATCATGCTTTCATTGCATGCTTTCAAAACATCCTGTCAAAAGACCTCACTGAAATTAATGGCTCAGAACCGATGCTAAGCTTTCAAGGATGCTGCAGTGATTTATTGAGTGGTGCCAGTCTCCGGCTTCACTGGGTGGAGAGCACTTGTCTTCATGTAACAGGGCTAATATTACTTCAAGCTGTTGTCAGTTGACTCGGTAAAATTGCTTAGATACACTCCCCACACAGTTAGCTGGTGATGATTACCCTTAAGTATTCACAGAGCAGAAGCCCTGGGGAAACACTAATTAGCCACCCGCAAGGAAGATGTTCCAGCCACATAAACAATCTCCTGAAGTCTCTGGGCTGTAATGAGGACTAAGCCCCAGTGACAAAACCTGCCCTGTGCTGTGCTGCTGCATCAAGTTTCAGCAATTTTCAAGGAGAAAGTGATTGGAGTCAGGCCCAGGGATGCACGGAATCCACTAATCACCACAAAGAGACTTTGGGTACTGGAAATCCACGGGGGAAAATTGGCTCTTATGAGCTAAAGGAGACACTTGCGTATGTTGTTAAAAAGTGTGGGGGCAATCTGCTTAAATATTTATATATTTAAGGTATATTGGGGTCTCTTTGGTCTTTGCATAGTTGATACCTTGCTCTCTTTCTTTTAACTAACTAAAAAGACAAACAATAAACCCATATCTTTACTCAAGCTGACTAGTGACTTTATTAATGTCTGTTTATAGCTTTTTTCTTCTTTTTCTCTCCATTAATAGAAGACTAATCAGGTTGACAACACAGAAAGAAAGAATGACACAAGGTATGTGTATGTGGATTTGATGTGTAGGTACATTTATTGCGGCTTCGTACTGTGAATGTGTCTGGATCTAAATGAGGGACAAGAACGATTTATCAGGTTTTCATGATGCAGAACTTTGGAGAATCAAAAGTTAATGGGAACAGAACAAACAACTCTTTCCGGATCCCTAGTAACCACAGAAGATTAGAGAAAGAAAAAAAATATAAATTCTGAAAATGACTGCTAGAGGAGAATTGGAACATGATCAGTCTCTCAGTTCTCAGCAGTGGAGGGGACCAGTAGATGTTTTCTCTGGCTCAAAATCAAAACAGCAAAGTTGAGAAGTATAAAGAGACCATGAATGGCCACTAATTTCTAAAATAATCTTGAGATCCTTGATTTACAGTAAGCAAAGGTAAATTCACTTCCACATGGGAAAACAATGATTTTTCAACTACTTAGATTAGAGTGGCATCTTCAACTGTTGGTGTCAATTCCAACCGGGGCTTTTCTTGGCCCTATAGTGAATGTGACTCAATTGCTAATTTCATGTTACATCTAATTTACATCTTAAAGTAAAGTCCCAAGAAAGGCCAGGAAATTTGGCAAATGAGAACTAAATGTAAAAAACTTTTTAATTGTTTTTCCACAGATTTTGAAGATTAAACATAATCTTCATCAAACCTTAGGAATAAACAAATATTGTGTAATATGTTAGAAGTAGCTGTACTATGCATCAAGTATGGTGTGTATTGGCATATTTCAAGGATTTTAGTTACAGTTGCTATGGTTTACTGGAAACAGATAACAGAAGAACAAAAAGTTCAAAATGAAATCATTGAATTTTCTGTTATAAAATGTGAAAAATGGCAAATGATTTCTAGATAGAATATTTGCTTATATTGTATAGTGAATATTTATATTTTAGTAAGTAAAATCCTTTCACCTTATTGATAAATCATTTGATTTACATGAATAATAAAATGAATCACTAAAGGTTAGCATGTAGACTTTCTTGTAGCTTTGCAGAAAATCAAATTTTTGGGTGAGTTTGAATAACTTCTACAAGGCACGTGAAACAAATTCCCATAATGACAAATATTCTTAGTACATCTTACTCTCACCTACACTTTTTTGGTTGTGCTATATTGATTTTTTAAGTTTTACATAGTTAAAATATCATTCATGGGAAAAACATTTTGTTCTAATTATATAAAATATATTTCACAATAATAAACTCAAGTCAATTTCTCTTAAACAGAGCTGTGATAGTTAATTCCATGTGTCAACTTGTCTGGTGCCCAGACACTTGGTCAGACATTATTCTGCATGTATCTGGAGGGTGCTTATGGATAAAATTAACATTTGAATCAGTAGACTGAGTAAGGCAGATTGCTCTTCCTAATGTAGTGAGGCCTCTGCAATCAATTGGGCTTTAATAGAACAAAAATGTTGACTCTCCTTTTACTGACTACGTGTAAGCTGGGACATTAGTTTTTCCTGCCTTCAGGCTCAAATGGAAACTTTGGCTCTTCTTCGTTATTGAGCCACCAGCTTTCAGACTGAAAGTACACCAATTTTGGACTGGAACTACACCATCAGTTCTTTTGGTTCTTAGGTTTTTGAACTTGGAGTAGAACTACACGGTCAGACTTAGACTGAAACTACGCCATTGGCTCTCCTGGGTCTCCATCTTGGTGTCTCTGAAGATCCTGGGACACCTCAGCCTCCCTAATCACATGAGCCAATTGCTTACATTTCTTTCTACATATGTATACATCCACTTGTTGTTTCTGGAGAACCTTAATATGACAGCCTTGAATTAAAACCTGATGTTTTCATACTGCCAAAAATATATAATTTGAAAGAAGCTCTTCAGGGCACAAAGAAAAATTGTACTGAATAGAGTAAAATAGGCAAGAAAGATTTATTCAAGACTGTTGCAATTACAGTCAAGACTATTGCAATAGGGGAGAGAGATTAAACTCAACTCTATTAAAGCAATGTTTCCTGAGGCTTTGAATAGATGCACATCTCTTGTATGATTTAGGTGGAGTTTTACATGGAATGAAGAGAGAAAGACTCTCTGAATGTATTTCCTTTCAAATCCAGCATTCAATAATTCTAGAACAATACTGCTTTTAGATTTTTCTTGGTAAGTGGAAGTAGATATTTTATTAACTTAGCTCTGGCGATAGAGCTTTCTTTACCAATGGTATGCCCACTTCTTCTATCATTTTTAACGGACTGTGTTGACTTGCATATATTTTCAGAAAAGGTATGAAATAGCTTATGTCAAAATATTCCCAGTAGTCTGGTTCAATGGGAAATCAGTTAATAAAAGAAAGATTTCTAAAAGCAGAAGTCTGTGACTCATTTCACTTGTATCTGTATAATAGGACTATATACTCTCAAAAATTATTTGCATGAACCTAATCTAGTATCAAAATCTTCCTTTAAGAAATACATAAGATAGACATATTCTCTGCCCTAACAAAATTTAGTGTCTAGTGATGGAACAGGGTAGGCTTAAATTTCTTCCAGTTCCTATTTGTTGTTTTCTACTTCAAGTAGAATTCATCTTCCTCTCTTTTTAAAAAAATTAAATTAAGAATTAATTTTTAAAAATGATATAGACCAATATCCAATTCGATTTTTATACAAAGGTAATTATCAAGAAAAGCCTTATTTCATCTTAACTTTTATCCTGGATTCACCAATACCAAATTTATAGAATAGTTCATATTCACACAATAATATTCACATAAGACATATGATAACCTGTATTCACTCAAGATACTGAAGACCATGAAAGGAATAACAAATGTTTTCTACAGATGAGAGAAGAACCTGAGATTCTTTTACCATCTTAAAACATTATTATTCAGAGAACCAGGGAAGCCATTATTCACTGATAGCATATCCAGTTTTTATGTGATCTGATAGAAGAAAGAGAGCTATGCCTCACAATATTAAACCATTAGGCTAAAGTCAGTTTCTCCCTCAATCCAGTGTTTTTCAATTGCAACTAGTGCCTAAGCAGCAGATCTCAGATATTGGAGTGTAATAGATTTGCCGCTGTTATTATCATTCTAATAGCTTATTGGTTTTTCATCCTGCTTTATACCGTTTCACTTAGAACTAAAGGTAAACCAAAAATAAGTTACATAATTTTTCTTCAGTCTTCTTTTTTTCTAAGGAGATTTAAGTTGGCTGCAGTTACTGCCAACCAAAATTCACAAAAAGAGTAGCAGCATGTTAACATATCACTAATAACTGTACTCCAATATATTCAAAATGGCTTTTTGGTCTTGTGTTTACATTCAGTAACAACAACAGTTAGGGTGTACATCAAAGTCCCATTTTCCCAGACATTATTACTGTTCCTGAAGACATTATTACTGTTCCTGAAAAATCCTATATTTTATATGGATCATTTTAAAGACATGCAAATCATGTCAATGAGGCTTTCTTCATGTAATTCTTGGGCTTGACTGTAATAATCAAGTAGACGCTTTGAAGTCTTATTGTTACTGTAGTCTGTTTATGTGTTTTTAATTAACACTACAAGCCAGATTGTTACTTTCATTTTTATTTTATTTACATTTTGCTTTTAGGTACAGATAAGAAGGTCTAAGGAACAAAACTCTTGACTGTAATATCAGAATCCTTAACTAAGGAGCTTCATATTTATATTTAATATTAATACTACCTTGTTGCATTAGTCTATTGGTATATACTGTATGATTAACTATAGAAATGAGTCAAAGATTCATTAAGGTATTTAGAAAGTAGAGAGAAAGAAATCTCTTCAAGGAGGCATTATGCTGAACATCAAATACCTAGGTGGTATAAATGGTGTTTTAAAATAGTAAGGATTTAGTTGGTGCACACTGTTTTTTTTTCATGCTAGCACAATAGACAATGATGTCAGGCTAGGTGAGGGAACAATCTGTTTCAAACAGCTTTTGCAAAACTTTGAATTTTTTTCAAAGCAAGAGACAGCCACCCACAAGGACAGCTTTTCTTTCATGAAGTACAGAATGTTGTGTGGTTGCTATAATTTCCTTGGTCTCACTTGTGAGTGACTGAGTTGAGTGAGTGAATCAGTGCTGATGCCCAAAGCCTTTCCAGCCTAAGAAGTTCTTAGGCTGTTTAACATGTTCCCTGTAATCCACTTAATTGCATACATAAGCTTGCAGGAGAACTTCCAGCTAAACGAATCAATAATGTATTCAGAGCACAGTTGGAAGACACTGAAAATGAAGTTTTCAGCTTTCTGGAGCATGCTGGCTGAGTCGCTTGTGAGTCTTGTTGACCTGGCCAATAATTAGGCCAATAGCTTCTGGAGCTGGGTGGTCAGGATCTGAGATGTGGGTTCTGATTAAGTGACAGTGTGAGTGAATTAGGAGACCAGCTTCCATATATTAGAGCCTAAATTATAATGAGGAGATTTGCTAGTCTAGTCAGTAATTATGTACCCTATAACCTTAATTCCAGAAATACGAATGTTCAAATACATGGGCTAAAAATCATCGAGTTACTTTTTATATTTTAAAAACATGTGTGTATCATTGAACAAACTATCAAATGGAAGTTAGGCCAGACATTGTTCTACTGCACTTATTGAGGCTACTTTTATGTAAGCATTTTTATTCTTGCCATTTAAAAATTAAAAGTTGCCAATGATGTTGAATTTCTCTGTGTTGCTCTATTGTTCATCTTCTATCTGTTCTACTAATCTAATTCCAGTTGTTTGAGTATAAAGAAAAATACTTTTACTGTTATATTGGCTTTTATTGAAATTTCCTCACTTTTTCTGGAATTATTTAGAAAAATATCACACAAAATATTCAGAATGGCATTATGAATATAGAGGGCCAATTTAATATAAATTCTATTTGTATGTGACCCCAATAATAATATACACAAATATTTCTGAGATCAAACAATGAATTAGACAGTTACTAGATTATCCATATGGTCTTGCATAAAAGAAACAAAACTCTTACAAAAACTGCCCTATCATTATTGAAGTTTCTACTTCATACTTATATAAATGCAAATTTCAATTGACTTGAGCTTAGATTTAAAAAGACTCATCTAATTCATAAGTACTTATGAAATATCACAGTGGAAAAAACATACAAGGTTGCTGTTCACTTGTGGGGCAGGGTACAGAAAATAGCATGTACTTACATGGTTACATAAATGCATAAATAAATAAGAGAATTTCAGATCATTAAAAATAGTAATATCATAAAACAGTGGTAGGCTGGTATCTACTAGAGTACTTTTCTGCCTAGAGGCAGTTAGAGAAACCCTCTCTAAGGAGTGCTGAAATTGTGACCTGAGACTTCAGTGCTGAGAAAGAGCCAACTATATAAAGATGCATAGGAAAAGAGGGCTCCAGTACAAACAGTCCAAGAAAGGAGCAAGTTGACCACTAGATGATGAGAAAGAGTGGTGAAACCACAAGGTTAGAAACGTAGTTCAACTTTTCCCATTTTAAATAAACCTATAGATTTCTCTGAATAGTTTCCTTTGCTGATCAACAGTGGAGCCTGATACATAGCAGGGGTACAATAAGTGCTCATTAAAAAAGAAACAAATCTCAAAAATGAAGAATGATATTATAGTCCTGATATTTTGGATCAACTTTTATTGTTACTATCTGGTCAAGACAAAAATTATGAAAGTCTAATGTTATAATACCATACTGAATTTTCTGAGTTGCGATGTACTGCATAAGAATTCGATAATGAGAAATTTGTCATCATACACAACAATTTTAATAAAATGAAATAATGTATGTAAAAACAGAATCATAGAATCAATAAATTCTAACACAGACATCAGAGATCATCTAAACTCTCTAGCTACTTGAAATGTGATTTAAGGACAAGGAACATCAGCATAACTTTGGAATTTGGTAGAAATGGGGACCTTCAACACCCAACCCAATTTACAAATGAGAATCTGCATTTTAATATGATCCCTCAGTGATCCTTAAGTACATTAAAGTGTGAGTAGCTCTGCTGCACAACGGTGGTTCCCAAATACTAGATTGCAGTCCCTATGAAAAATCATTTGGAGTAATAATCTTTTATTTTTAGATCAGTGGACCTCAACCCCTGAAGAGTAAAATTCTGGAGTGAGGTGTGCATATGAAACAACAACAACAGCAGCAACGACAACAAAATAACAGAAATTATCTAGTTGATTCTGATGCATCCTAATTCTTTCATTTGTAGGGTTGACAGATTTAGCGAATAGTATGCAATATATTTACATTAAAAATTATTCATTATTTATCTGAAATTCAAATTTAACTGGGCATCCTGTAGCTTATTTCACAATTCTATTCATGTGACACAATAATAGAGACTCGATTTAAATCTCTTTTTAAAAATCCATGGCTAAATATATCGGAACTGATTCAAAATGAGTTCTCTTGGTATGAGAGTTATTTGTAAAACGTAAATATATAAAAAGTAAGGTATTGGTACCTGTGTCAATTAAATAATATTCTACTTTTCTTCATTTGTTGATTTTCATATGCAGCTCAATCAGGTTATTGTAGATAGCACATAAAAGAGAAAATTATGTGTCTCTAACTGTAAGAAAACCAAATACAATTTATTATAACACAATTGTTTTCTTCTGAATAAACTAACGTGTCCACTTAAGGAAAAAAAAGTTAAAGGTTTTCTTTTTTTTCACTTTTTATCCTTTAATAATACCTTGTAACGGTGATTTTTTTTTTGTTAACTCTCAACTGTGGACAAATTTGAACATATGAAAAATATTAAAAATCTATATAATAGCTATTTAAATGAAGAGTATCTCTAACTGAAACAGTCTGAAACCTAAAGTCTTCTCATACAATAATATTTGCTATTTTTTAAAAAAATAAAGGGGTTTTCCCTATTAGATAACACATGAACATCATATTTAGAAAACAGAGAAAGAAAAAACTTACCCGTAACTTTATCAACAGAATGCAATCATTCTAATGGTTGAACATATTATTTTCTAAATATTTTCCCTGTAAACACTTTTTTCGTAGTTACAATAATATTGTACCATAGTGTATGATAATAGTGCTTTTCGGCCTCATAAGTACTTCCTTTTTATTACAAATAACACTGTATTTATTGTAGATCTAATGTCTAGTCAAGTAAATACACCTAAGTTTTATTTTTTCCTTTAATTCTTTTGGGTCTGGGACGTATTATACAAATTTAAGCCTTTCATTAATCATGCTATGTCAGACTCTTACAGCAGAATAGAAGAAAATGTGTCCCTTCTACATCTTATCCCTTATAAAACTCTTCAGTCTTAAGAGAACTGAAATAAGTAACCCTTTAGGAAAGGGCAGGGCTTCAGTTTCTGGCCAGTTACCCCAAATTCCTATTATTTGAAAATAACAGAAATGTAAGCTGGTTCTCCCATGCAAGTACTGTGAAAGCTCGGAGAAATTCAACTACAGCTGTCACTCCAATGTAAGACTAAATCTAATTTGTTGGGTGGAAAGAGTTAAATGAACTTTAACTGAAAAGCTCTCGTTCTCTTCCTCTCAGGGTAGAAAATAGCCAAGGGCAACAGCGGATGACTAATGTGTAGAATATTGCAATTAGTATAGCAAGGTACTTACAGGGATCAAATTAAAAAATTCATTAATGTACGCACTTAATTAAGAAACACTTTTCGGTTTACATGATAAATTATGACACCTATTAAATCTTCCAGTACAAGCTGTAATGGCTTCTTTGCTCCTGGGTAGAGAACTATTGCCTTTGAGGTCCTTTGAAACTCCCCAAGGACCAGCAGCATTAGTTACAAGTGTATTAAAAACAATGCTTTCCCCCTGCAAGGTGCAAAAGCATCTTTATTGGAAACTAATTTAAACTTAAGAAAGCACCAGGGAGCAAGAGACTATCATGCTGCAAGCAAATGACAACACATATGAAATGACCTTGAAAAGAAAATAGAAATCTTTGCTCCCCAACATTCGCAAAAGGGAAGTGACAAGGACAATGTCTTTGTTTGTTTGTTGTTTGTTTGCTTTTGTGTCTTTTGTTTTATCTCTGTCCTCTTTCTGCCTCCCTTAAGGATAAATGTTGCCAGTGGAGAGAGAATACTTTAGAAATAAATTTTGTATTGGAATATTTGTGGTAAATATGCTTTTTTCCTTTTCATTTAATAGAAAGAATTAACAGGGAGATAAGAAGGAAGAGAGTAAGGGAAAGAGGGAAGAGAAAAGAATAAAGGTAAAAGTGAGAAATAAATATGTAAGGAAATCAGATATATCCCTCAGAAGCTGGTTGTACCTGAGGACTTTCTTCATTGTGGAAAGCAGGGATCAATAGTGATTAAAAAAAAAAAAACAAACCCTGGATTTCTATTATTTTATTCAGAGCATCTTTAATATCTCCTTCAATATTCTTTATAACTCTGGAGTTAGCAGAGCTGGTAAGGGAAACTAGAAAATTAAATTGGTTTTCCAGAGTCAAATATATTCATTATCTCTGGTACAATTCTCTCTTCTCCAGACTACAAAGTTTTTACTTTTATGGCCATTGTTTTAACAGGCCTATGTACCACTTGACAGTTTGCAAATATTTCCCTTTCTGATCTGTATGACTTTACTGTGCAAGGGTTAGAATTATTACTTCAGCTTACAAATCACAGAACTAGCACACACTGATGGTGGTGCTGAGTAGAAAACTCCAGCCACTTACTGGCTTTTCTGGTTTCTCTGAAGGGGTTGACTGTTGTCTTCTACAGAAAGGAAGATGCCAGAGAGAAAGCTGTGGAGCAGGATTCGTGAGAATTCGGGACAAGTGTAGTGAAATTAGCAGTAAAATGCCTTTTCTAACTAATTTCTCTGGAAGCTTTCCCCCATTTGAAGTTATGTTAAGGAAGCACATCTTTAATTCCATAAAACAACCCCAGCTTCTAACTTACCACATGCAGACCATGCTGTCTTTATGTCATCTCATTTAGCGTTGTTTATACACTTATTTTTACCTTATGCCTATTACAGAAACAATATGAAAACTACACTAAAGAAAATCTTGAAAAAAAAGTTAAAAATAAACTCTAGCACAATTATTTTCATGTCTATTTCTTACCAAAGTTACTGCAGCCTGTAATAATCACAATCTGCAGTTATCAAGTGCTGTAATAGGGTATTATCAGAAACTGTTTGAAAAATGAAGAATTTATAGCCACGGAAGGCATGGCCTTCCCCTAAAACTCTTAATAATCTGCGCCGCAGTTTTCCTATTGCAGCTTGCCAGGGATTCCAGATTACTTCTTTACACGTCAGTGATTCTTCTAGCATGACTGGTATGCTAGATAACATGGTCTGAGCAACAAGGATGCTTGCAACAAAGCTTGGACTACAAAACCCTTTCTTGCTATTGACCCCATTTGAAAGTGGTAGTCTTCCAAGTTACCCCAAAAATGGGTTAGATTAGTCTTCCCATGTGTGGCTTATGCTACTAGTAAACGTTAAAGAAGCCCACTAAGACACTGTGTGTCTTTATTAGTGTTATGATGATTTAGAGTTGCAGATATTAGGGAGCCCAGTTCCATGGCATTATCCTGTCAACTCCAGCTTAAAGAAGACAAGTTACCATACGTGTCCTCAGGCTTTCCCAGTGTGTGCATTAATTGACAGTTAATTGTTTGCACAATTTTTTTACAAGGCATCTAATGCCATCAAAGACACCCATCCCACACATTGCATTCCTTATAATCATTATCTCCACCAAAATTATTGTCTGAGTTTAGATTCTCCCAGAAGCAGGGCATGAAACCAGGACTGAGTGCAAGTATTCTATTAGAAAGTACATATTTCACCAGTAGAAAAGGAAATGTGCAAAATAAGGGGTGCATGATTAAGTCAACTACTATAGTAGGCATCTGGAGCTTATCCCACAGGCTGTCCTTGGGAAATGGTAAAATCCACACCTCAAAAATTATTCCAACCAAGGACAAGGGAACTGGGGGGATTATATAGCAATTCTCAAGAGTCTTTGTTTGAAGGTTCCTGTAGAAGAGTTAATTCTTGACATTTTCAATCTGCTGTGCACATAGCATTAACACTTCCCACCATCATGAGGAAACACGTGTAGGCTCATAGATGCAGACGCAGTCACTTGGAAGATGGCAGAGCACACTGAAAATGTGAGCGGTTAAGGGTAGGGCACTGATGATGTTTACCACACCTATAAGTCCAACAACCACTGCATATCCCATAAACTCATTTTTTATCAGCACTTCATCTCAATCAGAAGTTAATTACAAGGGTAATCACCACCCCCACTTACTACCAGCAATTTAGACTAGTGGGCAATTCATATCCAAAATATGTTGAGGATCTTCTTTCTAGGGTCATTCTGGTTCTCTACTGTCTTAGAGTAGGTTTCTTAGGAAATAAAACCTGAATCAAAAGCTGTGTGTTAACAAGTTATTGGGCAATGCCATTCCAAGTAAACAGGTGTGAGAAAAAATGGAAATAAAGTAGAAAGGGGAAAGAATAAATATAAATAAGTGCATTACCAAGATGATCATAACTTCATGACAAGATGACTACTTGGTCTTGGAAGAGCTCTTCAGGGAGTCAGTGAAGGTGTTGAATCCACATATAGTTTATATAGTGGGAAGAAAGGAGAAAAATTCGTTCACTTGCTTCCATCAAAGAGCAGTCAGTTTCCTACACTGGGTACTAAATTCCTATTGTTTAGTTTTGCACTGAATGAGATCCCAGTAGGTCTTGTAATATTTCAAGCCTTAGTGTTAACAGAGAACACCAAGAGAAAGATCCAAATGCTGTAAAGCTTGAGGCTATAAACGGTAGAAGAGTGATTACAAGCTTTAGTAAAATCTCAAAGATTACCCATATCCATTTAAGGAAATGTTGTTTTCTCTGGTATCTTTTTTGCATTTATCTATATTTTATTTTCCCTTGTTTCTATGTTGTTTTTATGTGTAAATTTTTAGCAGGTGATCTCCTAGAAGACAAAAGCAAACTACCCCGACTTACTTTGTTCCCAAACAACAGTATCTAATATCTAATAATAATAGCTAAAATTCACTGGGTGTCTTAAAAATGCTGATTATGTTTAGTTCTTACAATAAATATAAGTTTGAAACTATTAAGTGACTTTCCCACGATTACTAAGTTTCTAACTGGTGGAGACAGGTTTTGAATTCAGGTAGTTGGACCCCAGGAGTGACATCTATTCAACGTTCTGTCCAGCATTGCTTTTCTAGCATAAGCATTGAAGAGCCATTTCAATAATTAATTAGCTTTATAGAGAAGAAGAAAAAGATGAAATGGAGATAGGGGTAATGGCCTCATTTTGGCAAAGGATACAATTGTGTCATCAATAGTGCAATTCTAGAAATTTTTTAAAATGTTCATTTAATTTTTTAAAAATAGTTTGAATCAGTGATTTAAATTTACTTCATTTCACTGTAATTTTTCATCCCCTGCATTTATATTATGGGACTGGTCTAATGTTATTTTTAGCAGCAATATTGTTTGCTCAGTTGACTATACAAGAAAGACATATGAATAAGATTTGCTCATTTTTGTTATTAAATTTTGCTGATTTTATTTGTCTGCAGTAGAAATTTCAAACAGAGTTACTTAATTTCCAAGTCAATTTTTTTAAATAGAGCCGATTTCTTTCAATGGTATATGATGTTTTAAATATAACAGAAATAGGCTTTAAAGGATCTCGAAACTTTTTAATCATTGAATGAAAATGTCAGCATAAGACTTTTTTCAGGTGATGAGGTGTTCAGTAATAGAGAATCCTTATTAGGGATTTTCTTTGCAGATTGTTTTGTGTGAATTAAGATCCCCTATGAATACTCCAAAACAGGCTGTAATGTCTGCTAATCACTCTAGTGTCAGAGCTTATAGTGTCAATATATCTTTCTCAGACTACATCAGGAGACAGTAATAATTTCAAGAACTAGTGCTTAAAACTGCCATCAAATAAATTCTCAGTCCCATTTCACCTAAATGCACATTTCTATTTATGATAGAGGAGGGCAGTTGTCCTTAGTCATGAAGAAATTCTCATTGAAATTTGACTTTCAACTTTTTCTAGAATAAAAAAAAGAGAGAGTCTTTATTGGGAAAGCATTATTCAGGAAGGATGGGGCGATCCATGTGAGAAAATGCTGAAAGATTTCCTCTCAGCTATATTGAGCATGTTGTATCACTTTGGGTAGTGTGTTTCTCAGAGCCTATGCTACCTTTTCTTTTATAGTTAATGGAGTGAATGTTTTCTGATCCAGCCTAGTTCCTGATTTGTCCGGAGCTGACTTTATAGTCCCTGGTTCTCTCTCACTCCAGCTGTGGTCTTCCACTTACTTTGGTGATTCAAGTTAGCTTCTTTCTTTCTGCTCAGAAGTGTATAAACTGTCTTACAAAGTCAGTCCTTGATTTATGATTGTTGGGCTTATGATTTTTGACTTGATGGTGCAAAAGTGATCTGCATTCAGTATAGTATTCAATAAATTACATAACATATTCAACACTTTAGTATAAAATAGACTTTGTGTTATAAGATTTTGCCCAATTGTAGGTTAATGTAGGTGATCTGAGCACATTGAAGGTAGGCTAGGCTAAGCTATGATGTTCAGTAGGTTAGGTGTATTAATGAATTTTTGATTTAGGATATTTTCAACTTACAATGGGTTTATCAGGATGTAAACCCATCAGAAGTCAAGGAGCATCTGTATTTCTTACCAGTGCCCTAATGCTGGTGCTTATATTGTCCTTCTCTGATATACTTGAATCTGTGATTTTCCTCATTGTTCTGCCAGATAATGCTGACAGCATTTTGGTTCCTATATATGTGCCTTACTTTATGAGCTTCTAACTTCTTTAATCCTCTCTCTTGCATGTTTCTGGACTCTGATTTGCCCAAATTGTTTTAACAAGTGTCTTGATTTGGGCTGTTGTTCTCTTGGGCTGTGTGAAAAAATTAATCCTGAAGGTTGTTTCTTCTCCAATTGCCTGGAAATTCTGCCTTTATATGACACTGGATTATTGGTATTTCATTGTGAATGTGTTCATGTTTTTGCATGAATTATCATCTAAGATTTTATTATATGCTCCTTTTAGAGATGGACAATATTTTGGGGTATTCAAGGAATTAATATAGAAGGAAAAAAGAGATATTCCTGGAGCAAGATGTGAAAAGGATAAATGGACCTCTGTTATAATCTTAGGGTGAATCTTCCATTCCTAGGTCATATGTTTGCAGTTTTCTTCAAGCGGAAGAAAGAATTATCAAAAAAGCAATGATACTTCAAGCTGGCATCTTAATGAAATCTGGCCCCTAAATCTGTGACACCTTAATGAGAATTGTAGAAGTTAAGAAACATATTTTTCTAAAACTGCAAACAAGTTTCTGTATTGTAAGAAGTGAGTGACTTGAATACGCTTTTAGAGCTATTTGTGTGTGTGTCGTAAGAAAATTACCTGCATGAGATATTTTGCCATGCAAACATAAGTAAAGGATGATGATAAAATATAATTGTCAGAAAAATATATTGTACTATGTTTAATTTGTCTTTGATTCATATAACCTGTTATCAGTTTCACTTCCTCATGGTACAAGAAGTCATTACCTGCTTTTTGCTTTAATATGCACTTATGGCATTTGTTCTTTCACATTTATTTAGCATCTATTATGTGTCAACCACTATAAAATTATTGGGGACACATTTTCTCATCTTTTAAGAAAATTTAATAGAAGGGTCTATAACATTCCCTAAAAGTTGTTTTTTGAATTAAGTTGCTGATAATATAAATCACTTTTTTTTATTAAAAATAAGCTGTAGAATGCATCTTTATATTTGATTATGTATTTATTAATCATTTTAATGAGATTTATATATACTTGTACCCATTCAAATATCCCCTATAGTTTTTATCCTAGAGTAACTCGGATTTAAAGTCCAGAGTTCTTTAATTATTTCTGGTTTCCAGTGACTTTATTAAGATGAAATATCTTCCAAAATACCAAAGGAGTATTGAGAAATAGAGGCTCTGTTGAAAATATGTCTTCACTTAAACCATAAAAAATGCAGGAGAGGAGGAACGAGAGAAGTTGATGGTACATGGACAAAATGTACCACTTCAGTTTTTTGGCACAGATAAAAATCCCCTAGACTAGCAAAGTGTTAATATCATTTCTCCTCTAAACTTCCATTGTTAACAAAAATGGATTACAAATCGAAGAGGATCAACTCCAGTGTGCAATGGTTCCCAGTGTTCGTTTATCTTAAATGGAAAATTGACACACATATCACTCTATAAAATTATGATTTATGTTACTAGTTCATTTCTTTCCTTCCACTACCATCACCCAAGACTACCTTCTGTTTGGGGGCGAACCCAGTACCAAACACCTGTGTGGCAGCTACGGTCTCTGCTTTCTTTTCGGATGACGTTGGCCTGATCCATCTGCAGAACTGTGTGCCAATTCTGATTATCCAGGTGGGACTAGAGTCCTTAGAAATTTGTGAGAGTCCAAGAAACATTAAAGAAATATATTTTCGCTTCCCACCAGCTTTGCTTGAACTAAGTATCTTATTGTTTTTTTCTCCCGTTTTCTTTCTAATAGGAGTGGCCTTGCATATCAATGAGGCTTTACTTGATCCAGTGCCAACCAGTCTTTGTGGGGTAATTAATTGGCATAGTGATTGGCAAAAACCCAGCCCAAATTTTTGTAGGTGATTTGTGGCACAGGTAATTGCCTACTTGTGAGTAATTTCTAAATTTGTGGTGAGCAGAAGGTAAGTGATATTTTGATTCTGAAGCAGCTTATTAGCAAATTACTGTATAAAATTACAAATGCCAAAGAATTCAGTTTTGATTTAAAAATAGTTTTGACCAGTCTGGATTCTGGGACATAGGAAAATTATTTTTGAGTATTTAACATGGGTTGTCAGTTTCCTGTAACATTACTACATATATATATTTTTTTTACTTTACTATTTAACATGGGTTGTCAGTACCCTGTAACATGAGTATATATATTTTTTAACTTTACTACATTTTTTATTATTTTTCTCCCTTTATGAACAATGAAGTGATAGTTTGGAAACATTTTGGTGAGCTTGTTCATTTATTAAAAAACTATTGAGCCCATCCAATTTATAAGAAACTGTGTGGTTGGGTCTTATTCTTTAATGCATAGAAAATTGTCAGAGAAATAACAGATGACAAAAGATTGCAAAGTTAATTTAATCAAGAGGCAACTATTAAAATCATTGAATTGTACAGTTAACTTACATGCATTTTACTGTATATAAATTTTGTTTTACTTTATGTAAATTATACTTCAATAAACCTGACTTTGAATAAAATAAGCAATTACTGAGCATCTATAAAGTTACCAAAATTACACTAGTCACTGAAGCTACGGGGACCAGTAGCTTCACTACAGGGATAACTCAGCTTTAGTCCCAACTTGCAAAAACTCACAATCAAATTAAGAATATTATAATTCTAATGGTGACCACTTGAGTGTGCAAAATACAACAATGGAAGGGTGTTAAAGAAAGATGTGGTACTTACAAGGAATATTTAGCCTTTTCTTGGTAGAGAGAAAAGAGAGATATGCAGGGAGAAAAGATCAAATTACTAAACTGCTTGTAATATCTAAAACACCCCACTTATTTATGTCTTACTTTTAACTAATGACAAATCACTTTCAGAAGATCTTCTTTGAATTTCTTATCTAGGTTAATGGCTCTTCTCACAAAACTCTGGGCATGGTGCTACCATGAAATTTTAAATTTTCTAACACTCCATGCTCCATTAGATTATTGTTAGTTTCACCAGGACCTCGTCTCATGCATGGTGTGTAAATATTTATCCACATATGTTTACTTAACTTAAATATACTGAATAGAAATGATGGCAGAATTGGATTATCAGGAGTTTTTCAAGTAATTAGGTATGGGGCTAGGGGGTAGAATTTGTAGCAGAAAGAATCTTAGGTCTTGAAATAACATACTGTGTTCAGGCAACTATTAATAAACTAAATAAATACTGAACTATTAATAGTTGGGAAGTGTCAATGGAGTGGGAAAGAGAAAGAGAGGGATCAGGATGGCTAGAAGAAAAAAACACTTGAGAGTAGATAAGGAGGATCTTTCTTGTTTTTTATCTGTTGGTGCTATGTGTCATCGAAGAATTTTATGCAGATCTGTAACATAATTAGGTTTGTCTTTTGGATAACCTGCTCTCCTTCAGAATGATGTAAGGAGGATAATTATGGAAGCAGGAATTTGGTCAGGAAGTATTGAAACAATTCAGCTTGAAAGTAATGTGGGCCACAACCAAGGCAAAGGCATTAGAAGTGGTAGACAAAGTTTGGATACAAGAGATGAAACTGCCAAGCTTTTGATAACTAGTCAGATATGGTTCTTAAGATACATTAGTAAGGGGATAATAACGCATTTCATTTTACATATATTGAGTTTGAAGTAGAAATATCTAGTAGACATGTATAGTAAGCAATTAGATAAATTAGATTTGTACTCAGAATGAAGATGTTAGCCCAAATCACAGGAGTTTGAGATCCAAAGGAGAGGAGACATAGAGGGAAAGAAGAAGGACACAGAAGGCAAATGCTTAACCTTCTCAAAATTTAATGTGTACACAGAAGAGAATTCAGTGGAGAAAGCTCAGGATGTTTGGAGATAAAGAAAGGTAAGTATAAAGAATTAGACAGTGAAGACATGAAAAACAAATAAAACAGGAATTTAAGAAGGGAGAAAAGTGGTCATTAAAATAAGATGATATAAAAGTCAAGTTAGATAAAATCTGGGAGATTTTTAATCAATTTGAAAATATAGAATTGATTGTGTAGAAGTTATGTATTGCTGTATAATGCCAAATCACCCCAAAACTTAGCAGCACAAAACAACACAATTATTCTCTTACAGTTTTTGTGAGTAAAGAACAGGAAAAAAAAAAGAAAAAAAAGAAAAGAAGATCATGCATGGGTAAAAGTTTCATTCAATGTGCAAGATAAACCGATAGATTTTAATGTAACAGAGTATGATAAGCACAATGATATGTTTCTAGATTCCACAGCAATTAATCTGTAAGGAACCAACACTTGTTGAAATTTGGGGTAGTATCAAAGAAGACTATTCATAGTTCTCTGAAAAGACTATTAAAATACTTCTCCATTTTCCAAAAAAAAAAATGTTGTTAAATAATTTTAACATCATTGGGGAAATATGATACAATGCTAAGAGATAAAAGTTGGCAACAACATTGAAAAAAAAAAGAACAGGAGCAAGGCATCTTGTCAGATTCTTAGATGATTTCAGTCAAGGTGTCAGCTAGAACTGGGTTTCATGTACAAGCTCAAATTGGTAAGAATCCACCTCTAAGTTCACGTGGTTGTTGGCAGGATTTAGTTCCTGATTGGTTGTTGGACTGAGGGCCTCAGTTCCTCTTTGCCTATTGGCCAGAGGCTGCTCTCAGCTCCTTGCCACATGGGCTCTCCATCATTGCTGCTTGCTTCGTCAAATCACAAGAGCCAAGAAAGCAATAGAAAAAGGCTGATAGAAGTCACCATCTTTTGAAACCTAACTATGAAAGAGACAGCCTGTCACTTGTGCAATATTCCATTGGTTAGAAACACACGCAAGGGGAGGGGATTACACAAGGGCATGAGTACCAGGCATTGGAGATCATTGGAGGGTTTTTCTTAAGAAATCTGCCCACCACAATTGGTGACCGTTTCCAATAGAGTATCCAGTAGAGTTTGGAGGAGTAGTAGACACAGAAACCAGATTCCATTGGTTGAGATACAAATACCAAATAAGTAAGTGGAGTTTCGTGTAGACAACCGACTTAAGTGTCTTGACTAAGAAAATCAGAAGGTTGGGAAAAGTAAGGATTTGTAATGATGGGAGAGACTTCAGCCAGTCTATAAGATGAGGAGAAAGGACCATTAGAAAGAGAGGGAGAGAGAAAACAGAAAAGAGGGAGGGGATAACTGATGGAGCACAATACTTGAAGAGTCTGCAGAGGATGTGACTCATAGCCCAGACAAAGATAGGAATTAGCAATAAACAAGTAGAGAAATAGCTTGTCTTCAGTGATGGAAGAGAGGAACATAATTGTAATCAATGTAGGTAAGTATGGAAAGGCAAAACTGTGAACTAATCCACACCTGCTGACTTCAAGTTTCTTGCCGTGGTGGGAGGCAAAGTGAGAAGTAATCTGTTTTCCTTTAGAAGCAGAGACAGGCATAGAGTTGAGGAAGGTAACAAATTAGAATAGCAGCTGAGGAGGATGAGAGGAGGTAGGAATTACTAAGGCTGGTATCTCTTTACGTTTGAATAAATTTCCTATGTATGGGTTATCAATACTGTGTATTGGTCAATAAGACTTCAATCTTTTGATTACAGAAATGACATGATGAAAACATTGTTTAAAAAATCACTTGTAAATACCGGAGTCAGAGATGGGAAATTTTGGTTTTGTGAAGAAAATTGAAGCATCTTTGGCTGTAATTCACTCAGGAAGCAGTAAGTTCCCAAAACAAGGTGAGAGGTTAAAGGAAGGAACCGTTAACCAAAAACTGTGATAACATTGGAGTGGGACAGATGACTATAAGGAGTGTGTAGGGATGGGAAAGATGGAGGTATATGTTAATAGGTTGGAGTGAAAATAGGCAGTTTATAAGAAACCTGCTCTGTGTCTCTAAAGAAGTCACTTAGTTGATTTGAATGACTCTGACTTCCCGTCCAGCTTTCCTATTATCTTACTTCAATCAACCTTTACTAGCAACAACACAAAGAGTACACACACATTTTTTGTACATACACGCACATTTTTTGTACAATTCAAGAGGTAATGATCCATTCACCAAGTAGGGGATTTATTGGAATATGAAGCTATCATAAAAATCAGATTACCTGAATATCTTTATCTGTGAGGTTGTTTCAGGATTTGAGGAAAAATCAATATTCCCTGAGTAATGCTCTGAGAGGGCCAAGCAGCTTGTCATGACACCTGTGGATTAATGACTCTTAGTGGTCTCATTCTGAAATCTCTTTTCCCATTATCACTTAAGCATGGTGGAGTGTTCTATCCTAGTCAAGGATACAAGAAGAGGGCATACATCGGGTAGTTTTGATTTTTGCTAAACACGGGAGACAGGTTTGGATCATTGAAGGATGCTAGATACAAATATTAAGAAATTTCTAATCAGCCAGTGTTAGAAAGACCAATTTAAATTTACATTAGCCTACATTTAAGTATCAACGCTTTAAGCTTTCATTCTCTGCAAGTAGGCTGAACTGCTTGGTAACAGGTCAAAATTGTAAATAGCAAGCCTGCACCTCCAAACTACTCTAAGGCTGGCAGAGGCTGAATGCTTAATTTATGGTAAATGTATGATTAAGTGTTGAATGACAGTCAGAAGGGACTTTCTAAGATTATCTGATTAGCTTTTAGCACCCAGAGATCCCTTCTCAGTGGAATCTGTGCTCTATAATTAAGAACCAGTAGTATAAATGTGTAATAGGGATTTTTTGATTCATGTACCAACAACACATTCACAAAGGGCAAACCATAGGAAAGTATATAAGAAAGAGTTTGAGATTTTGAATATTTGGTGAATTTTTCTTAAATAAAAATTATTTTGTTGTTATAATATACAATTTAATGTTTTACTTTACTACTACTACATGAAGAATTTTTTCACTTTGTTTCTTTGAAAAGCAGAATACTAAAATGTATTTGATTATTTAAAACATTCCTGGATTTCAGTAGAAACATGTTTATATGTCTTGGCTCAGGTCATCTACTGAGTTAGTCTATGAACAAGTTATTTTGAAAACCTTCAAATTTGAATGATCAAAATTAGAAGTGCACGATTATAATTAATTTTGATATAAATTATTTGATTTTTACATACATTATTATTATGACTGATTCCTAAGGTTATTTCTTAAAGTATGATATTAAATTTTAATAATCAGGAGTATGTTATTTCAGTTATATAACTTCTAAAATATAAAATTTTAGAGCTGAAAGAAACTTATGATTCCTTTCTTCTTTTTTTAATTAATAGGTACTTTTAGGATGCTTGCAGCCTTTCTTTGAAGAAAATTTCATGGTCAAATAAGTATGGGAGCAGGGGGTTAAGCAATATCCTACAGGTTTCTTTCCTAAAGGGATTTTCTGAATCATTACTGTGTTACAACGTATTGTGTATTTTCCTGGAGGGCTACATTATCAAACATTGTTCTATAGAACCCTGCATGAAATGCATTTTGGGAACAATTATTTGTCTAACTCCTACATTTTACAGATAGGTAACTGAAGACCTAGATAAAGTGATTTTTCCAGGGCCATGTATCTGTTTAGTGGCAGATGTTAAAAAAATAACAACAAAGCTTGAATTTCATTCCTATTGTCTTACTCTCTCACACTAACAGATTTAAATATGATGTATGTAGATTTTTGGTAAAGCAAATTATGTTGATAAATATTTAGATAAGTTATCTAAATATTTAAATATTTTTCTTTGTTGATGCTTTCCCTTTTCAGTTGAATTTGTGATGATAGAATTCTGTTTTGGCCCTAAATACTAACATTTGCTCAAACAGAAATTCCATTTGGTCATCTAATTTTGCAGGAATACATATTTGACTCATGACACGTTCTTAGGCTGGAGCAATGCTCCATGACTTTTCTATAGTACACAGAATTCTGAGAGTAGGGCAGTGGGTGTTGGCTGGAAAAGGAAAAGAAAACCACTTAGCTTTTTATTTCAAGTTAATGTAAATGTTTGTATAAGTCAAGAAGAGCCAAGGATTTACCAGCAGATTATTTATGCATTGATATAATGCTCTACTTATACAATATTGAAAAGATATATGAAAAATGAAATATTTTTTGGGGCAGACCACCTGCCCTTGTCATATTTATTATACTCACAAATTTTCAGTTATTTTAGTCAGGCTTCCAAATTGCTTAATACCTTTCTAAATATTACCAACTTAATTTATCACAGAAAATTAGTGTTACATTTCCTTGTACTTGTTTAGTGAAGGTTTATAATTTAATTACTTGGATGTCTTCTCTAAAATGAATTATTTCAGAACTCTTGAACATTTTTGCCAAATAAAAATTTTCTTTTTATTAACAATTTTCTTTTTCAAAGCCACTAATTATCTTCCCTCTTGCAGTTACAGCCTAGTAATCAGTTAATTTTGTTCTTTCAGAGATGCATTGTTCTTGGAATCACTATGGGTTTTTGCAAAACACAGGTGGATAAAGTATGGACCTCATGCTGCTGCTGCTTCTGTCACAGTTCTTTAGAAAACAGAAACACTAAATACAGCAATTTGAAAAAAAAATCAAAGGATGAACAATTAAAGTGATCAGAATTTTATAAAATTTGGTAAGCTTTGTAAGTTATATAAAAGTGACTGAACTCCTGCTCTAATTCTGAAACTAATTATAACAATACAATTACAATGATTCACTGGGCTTTTCCTAGCACACTGTTCTTGGCTGGAGTGCAACATAAGATGAGTTGTTCTTTGACCCCATCCACAATGATTTGAATACAAAGACATAAAAGGACTCTGTTGGAAAGTATTACAGTGTGTTGTGTTAAGAGGTCCCAACTGTATTCATTACAAGAAACAGACTCTGTGTCAAATAAGAATGAAGTAACAATTATACATCTCAGAAAACTATAAGCTAACAGATGTTAGCTTTAGAAGAAAAGATATGCCATAAGTTTGCTGAGTATATACCAAAAACTCCTAATATTTCTACTGATAGCCTGAAAAGCAAAATTCGGAAAAACTATATATGAAATGATTTGTACATTATTAACAACTCTATTCAAGTGGGGCAAAATCAGTTTAGACAGAGACAGACTTTTCTTCCCCTGCTTATTCTCCTCTCCTCCATGTACCTCTTCTTCTTCTCTCTCCTCTTCTGCCTTTTTTTGTCTGTCTTCTTTCTTCTCTCTCATATTTTCCACTTTTTGATGCTCTTCTCCATGCTCCTCTCCTAGCTCTTCCCCATGGACTCACTTCTTCTTAGAGTCATACTTCATACTAAGAATTGTCATCTCTAAATGGATGCATATGTAGATGCAAAATTTCACAAATTTCTTTATGGAATTTCTTAAAGATGTATTAATTTTTACATATGTATCATCATGTGGAGACATTCATTCAATAGATGCCAGTTAGGCTTTTTATCAAGCTTTCTGCCTCTTCTAGATTTGCTTTTCTCCTAAAGAAAATGTAGGAAAAGACTTGATCAGGTATTTCACAGGAAGGAAGCATGAATGGCTTATCAGCATATTAAAAATTCTCTATGTTTATTTGACAAAAGAAATGTCAAATAAACCATTAATGAGATACCATTTTACAACAAGATCATAAATTTGAGGAAAACAAAAGAATTACCCAGTGTGTCCGGAAAGTATACTTTCATATACTGTTAGTTAGAATATCAGTTGGTGCAACTTCTTTGGAGCAATGTGGCAATACCCAACAAATAATGCTTAAATATACACATCCTTTCATCCTGTAATTCTATTTTTAGAAATTTAGTCTACAGATACTGTAAGTATTTTCTAGAAGTTAAAACCATATTATAACAGAAAGATGTGTGTATAGGAATATTAATTACAGTATTGGTTTAAATATAGAAAGGGATGGGAAAAAAATTAAATGTTCATGGTTATACAAATTGTGGCATAATAATACAATAATAAGGAGAGGACCATGTAGACCTGTAAAAAATAGTGTGGCTTATATGTTTCAATAAAAATGATCTCTAAGATGAACGTTAAGTTAAAAAAATAAAATAAGCCTCAGACCCCTGTGTATAATATCCATTTGGGTTTTTAATAATATATGAAAATATATATATGTACGTATACACACGCAAATGTACACATATACTTCTCTATTCATTAAAAAGTGTGAAAGCAAAACTAGGCATTAGTAAAAGTTGGGGTTTTGTTTACTCTTTTATCTTAACATGAGCATATAAAATTTTTGTATTAATTAGTTTATTTAAATACCATGTAGAACCCTAAAAATTAAATGAAATAATATATTATTTATAAATTTTAAATGTATCTTTAAGCAATTAATATATAAACATTTTTAAAAAGTAAAAATTGAGTTATTTTATTTTTCAAAAGTATTTTTGACATAAGTACTTTAATTCAGATGCAGATAAAACATAAAATTATTTTGAGATTATAAGTTAATATATTTGAGAATCATCTGTTCTGTAAAGTATTACTGGATTTATAAAATAACATTTATCTATCTCTTTTCTGATGACTGGTAATACTATCTGCATCCTTACAGATATTTCTCATCTTATTTCTAATGCACGTATGCTTTTTTTTTTTAATTGTAGGGTTATAGAAGGCAGAGTAGTTTGTGCATTATTCAGCATGGGTCCCCTTTGTCAATATAGGTTCTCCATAATGATATTGAGCAAGGAAGAAATCAGTGTGTAAATTTGACCTTTGGCCTAAGGTCTGGTGGGGCTGACAGTCACCTATCCAAGGTGGTGTCAAATGTTCCCTATGTTCAAAAATATTCACCTTGAAAGGATTGGCTTAACATGAGAAATTTCCAAATTAATTGACTCTTTAAATCAAAATATTGGAAACCCTAGAATTTTTTTTTCTATAAGGAACAACCATACTGTTATATCATTATTCATTCATAATTGAACACTATTTCATTTATTAGATTAGTCTAGGCAGAAGGAGGCCTGAGTAATTTAGCTTGAGGAGTATCAGCAAGATTGAATGAGTGACCAGGAAAAAGTGAGATTAATTCCAGTGTCTGAGAGGGTAGGTCTGAATGAGTTTTTGAAACACTGGACTAAGTATGGGGAGGGGTTTTGAAGGGATCTTGCCTTTGAGTTAATGCATGGAGAATAAGGAATTGGTCATTAGAGGTTGTATTCTAAAGGGAGGAGTCAGGAAAATACAGATGGTCAACTTCAATTTTACAAAAGATTAGTCTTACATTTTTTGGTTTATGACCATATTTTCTTATAGTGGAAAGAAAATAAACGTCAGAGAAATGTGTTCTAATATTGACACTGATGTCGTCCAAGGCTTTATGGAGATTATTATCCTATATTTCCCCCATCTGTGAAACAAAGATAATTTATGTCATCTACCTTGCAAAAGGGTGACATGTAACTGCAGCTATTATTATTAGAATCAGTGAATATCAAAATACAAAGCTTTATTAATGTTAGACTCTTTCATTATGGTAAAATATACATAACTGAAAAGCCACCATTTTAACAATTTTTAAGTGTTCAGTTTAGTGGCATTAGGTGCATTCACTGTTTGTATGTGTGTAACCATCCTCACCATGCATCTCCAGATCCTTTTTTCTTCCCAAACTGAAACTTTGTATTAATTAAACATTAACTCCACATGTCTATTTCACCCAGCTCCCGGCAACCACCATTCAACTTCCCATTTCTATGAGTCTGATGCCTCTAGATACCCTATGTAAGTGGAATCACATAATCCTTTTTGTCTGGCTAGTTCACTTAGGATAATGTCTTCAAGGTTCATATATGTTGTAACATGGGTCAGAATTTTATTTCTTTTTTTTTTTCTTTTTTTTGAGACGGAGTCTCACTCTTTGGCCAAGCTGGAGTGCAGTGGCACAATCTTGGCTCACTGCAACCTCCACCTCCCAGCTTCAAGTGATTCTCCTGCCTCAGCCTCCTGAGTAGCTGGGAATACAGGCACGCACTACCACATCCAGCTAATTTTTGTAGTTTTAGTAGAGATGGGGTTTCACCATGTTGGCCAGGGTGGTCTTGAACTCCTGACCTCAGGTGATTCGCCTGCCTCTACCTCCCAAAGTGCTGAGATTACAGGTGTTAGCCACCGCGCCCAGCCAGAATCCTATTTCTTTTTAAGGCCTAATAGTATTCCATTGTCTGTAAATACCACATTTTGATTATCCATCCATACATCAATGAGCATTTGGTTTGTTCCACCTTTTGGCTATTGTGGAACCGTGCGCTATGAACGTTGCCATACTAAACATACTCTACTTTTAAAAGAATCCTAACTCTAATTAATAAAGCATATTAAACTGTACAGATTTGGTAGGAATAAATGTAAGTTATTCCAAAAGTTTTTAGGTAATATCACTAAGAAACACCAGATTTGGTTTGAGAGGTGTTATATAAAATGCAAATTCAGTATTTGAATAGCCCAAATGATATTCACAATTAGCACTGAGACTATTGTTACTTAACATCTGGACTCAATTATGCAAAAGTTATATAAAAATATCAAATGTCAGCAAAGAACATTTATTTCTTCTTCTTAAAATTAATTAAGGATTTTTCTTTATCCTCTTTGTAGGCTATTTAAGGTATAGGGATAACAGACATGTTTGTACAATGTGATGTTTAAGGTAAAGTTTTTATTAAAGAATGTTTGGTTTAGAACAAAAGCTCTTCACTTCCTGATGGAGAGAGGACACCTCTGAAGATTGAGGTATTTTCAGTCAAGTTCTGACATACTTTGCATCTTGAGGAAGAGAGGGAAGCAGCCAGAGGTGGAGAAGGGGGAAATTTCAAGAAAATAGGGCATGGAAGACTGAATGAGGAAATATTCTGTCTTTCAGTGAAGGAAGGAACAAAAAGGCAAAACACATAATTGGTTCCATTCCTTTGTGGAATAATTTGATGCCTTTCGCACAACTTCTGGAATCATTACCGCAACTTGGCAAGCCTGGGAAATAAAATTGAGATATGAAACAAAGAGAGAAGACAATGGTTTTCTCTATAATAATAGAGGAATTTGTATCAAAAAAGAATAAAAATCTGTAATGTAGTTATTTACTGAATCTTTCTTATACTCATAATTGGAACTTTATTTCATTTAACACTGAAAACTGAATTAGTGGAGAAAGAGAATTATGTTTTTCATTTTTGAATTGGACTCTCCAGATGCCCCTCTACATGCCGTCTTTAATCAGAGCCAGATCTAGGAAAATTCTAGGCTAAATGAAATGAAACACAGAAAATGTGTTCAAATTGTCAAATGTTTTCAGTAGATCCATATGTGTCCTACTGAGCTGTACTGAGCCTTGATTCTGGAAATAAAATCTTAACTTGCCTTTTTGATTTGTGACCATTTGTATTTCATCACCTTACAGTTGATTTAACCATATTTTTAGTATTTGAAAATATGGTTCTAAACTAGTAAAGGACCCATACATAGGCTGAAGTATTCAGAATAAACTAGGCATGTGAAATTGAATAATATACTAAACTGTCAAGGCATTTATTAATCCTATAGTTTTCTGATTAATTTGAGTTTATTTAGCATATGGCTTTGCACTAAATATTTAACTTCTCTGTTCCTCAGTAGTTTAACTTATTAAAATGAGGAGCTTGCAGTAAATTATTCTGAAATTCTCTTTTAAATCTTAAATTTTATAGCTCTATTTGCATCAGTTTCTCCATCTATAAAATGGGTTTGCTCTTAGCATTTCCAGGTTTCTGTGTCTTCTGCCTTTGTTACCAGTTGGAAGTGATTCTTGATGGTAGAAACATCTGTTTTACCATTGTGTAAGTCAGGATAGTAATGATTTTAGGAAATACTAGGTCACATTAACTAACCTTTCACAATAGAGAAACACATCTAGGTCAATTATCTTTGAGTGGCTCAGTTGTTTTACTGGCACTTAGCTAGTTACACCACATTTTGGCATCACAATTTAATTGGGGTTCTTGAGCCCTTTGAGCAAGTTTTTGTTGACTCATTGGCCTCATCCCAACACTCTTTATAAAATTCTTCAGAGCAAAACAAAATTTTGAATGTACTTTCAAATATTTGGAGGTATTTCTTCTTATACAATATTTCTGCTGTTTTCTAATCAGCAAGGGCACTTTCCACTGGGTGATAAATATGTTAGCATGCTTTTACAGAGTCAGTAAATCAGGAACAATAATAATAAAAAAGCCCTGTCCATAACTAACTTCAGTTTGCAATTTATGTAATGACATCACGTTCCTTCTTTAACTACAGCACGGAAGTCTCATTTACCTGCTAGTCTGATAAACACTAGATTTTTTTTCAAGTTGAAATTTAATATAGGCACATAATATATGACATTTGTATTCAAAAGGAAGTAATGAAGAGAAGATGAAGAACTGATAGAGCAAATGACGTGATAATATATGCTGTAATGGGTAAGACAGAGGGTGGACAGATGACAAAATCACATTTCTTTTTCAGACACAGTCCCTGAATTTTTCAGCATGTACATTTACAGGCAATGAAGACATATCAAGACTCAAGTGGTGACAAGAGAGCTTACTGCTCTAGTTTTAGTATCTTCTATTCCATGAATATTTATCACGGCAGCACCACACAGAACACTTCTCCCTGCTTATTGCAGTCATTTGCCATACATGCTATCGTAGTTAAAAGTCTATACGCTTTTCTGTTATGAGGCTTGCTGTTTTGTGGCTTAAAGTATCTCTGTGCCTTAATTAACTCTGCCTTTAATTTCCATTGAGACAAGGAGCAACTTCTTACTTTCATAAAAGAATTTATGATGTTTAAAAATAGTTGTTCCCTTTCACTGACTCAATTTAAATGTGAAGGTAATTTATCTTTTAATAGTCATCTCTTCCTAATCTGACACGCTTATTTTATCTAAAGTATTTATATTAACATACATATTACTATTCACATATAATTCTTTAACCTCTGTTGCCATTTAGCATCCAAAATCTGATTCTAGAAACCAGAGCTGACTTAGTCAAACGAAAGCCCTAAGGATGTTAGTACAGTTGTTATAAATAAAAGCTATATAAATTTTGTTGCTATGCAGACATATTTTGAAATTTAAACTCACAAATCCTAACCAGACTAAAAATAAATAATTGACAGGCTCAGCATTGATTCTTCCATATTAAAATATGATTTGTAAATATGCAGTAATAAATTATCTAAGTAAATCATGTTAATTTGCCTTTTTATATCAAAAGTAGTGATTTCTACAATTCTAATTATCAGTTGTTTCCAATTATTCATAATAATGTTGTTTGCCAAATTAGTTATTATGGAATTAACTTATTTCTATGGTGGTAACAAGACATGATCAACAATTGAGGAGATTATTCAATCTAGGAGTTCTTCCTTATTTATAGTAGTTAACTGTAAGTAATATGAAATAACATGTTGATGTTACATTAGTTTTTGAAGGTACATTTGAGAAAATGTGAAATTTGAAAACAATATTCAATCAGAGTTCTTCCTAATTTTCTTGATCCTTCTCTTTCATTAGGGCCAAGCCTGACATCAGATGAATTTTTAAAAATTGCAATTAAACCATACTGCTAATCTTATATAATGAGCATAATTATATCCTTCCCTCAGTATGTTAATTTATTAAACAAATATTGATGTACTACTGAAAATAGTGGACTGGTGAATGTTAAAATAATGGAGAAAATGAAAACTTCTTTACAAAATAAGATGTCCTAAGTTAGGTAGAGAGTAAGCCTCATGAGAACAAGAAACAATGTGTGCTCTCTTCTATAGAGTCTCACTGATTAGCACAGGGTCTGGCAGTAGTTGGCAAATAATAAGTGCTCGTTCAATGAAATTAAATTTGATAGGTAATTTTATCATATATTCTTGTTCCACATATTCATCATTGCTATTTTATGCCTCCAAATTTTTGTTCATGATTATTGCTCTCTAAAATTATTTTTTATTATTTTCTTACCTGGCTATCAGTCATCTTTCAGAAGTTTGAACTGGCATTATAATATCTAAGAAGTTTTCTGGCTCCCCACAGCTGAGCAAAGTAATCCCGAGTCTTAATATTTCATCTTAAATACACTCTATGTGATTCTTCTGGAGGTCTCTGAGTATCAAAGCACAACCGTACTTTGGTGGGGATGGTTGTTTGTTGTTTAGTTAGTTTCAGTTATTTTTAACCAGTCTTACTTTGCTCTTACTTTCAAATTTTGTTTTGTACACTTCAATGGAAATTAATAGAATAGCAAACTCTTCCACATAAAAATATCTTACCTATGATTTTGATTTTTTCTGGTGAATAGTTAAATAATGTGACTGGCATGTTGTTATAGCTACTTAAGTAATTTGCCCATATGTACCCGTATGACTACAATTCTGCCCATAAAACGAATTGGATATGACTATTTTTAATGGTCCATATTAGAAAGAGAATTTTGCTGTTTTTCCAATTTTAGGGAACCCACAAATCATCAAATTACTCACATAATTCCTATGAATCTCAAATAATCTGATTAAAATTCCTTCTGAATTGAAAGTAAAATGACTGTCAATCTTAGCCTATAAGAAACTTATAGTCTTAAAAATATTATCAACAGAATAACAGTACTCCTAAAGAAATAGAGAGGTATGGGAAACCAGAAGAATTAACATGATATGCAGTTCACTCCCACCATACCATCCCTGTATCTGTCTCCTTCAAGCAAAATACAATCTTTATCTTTTCACAATTTATGGGTAAGATATGTAGAACAATTTGCTTGGCTAATTTAAATATGTTTGATGCAGAGGTTTTACAAAACACATATGTATTGATTAATCGGGCTTTATTTTGATTCTTATGAAGACAAAAAATTATGATCTATAACATAACAGTTTAATCATAGAAAACCATTTAGACTACTGGATCAGTGAATAATATATGTGTTACCTGAACGTGGCCCTGTCATATGATTTTGGACACAGCTAATTGTTCTAAGCTTTGATTTTTTCCTTCATTGTATTAAAGAAAAAAATTAGTTCTTTAAATTCTGAAACACAGTCATTCCTGAACCATTGCTTGTCCTGCACACTTCCAGGAAATGTACCATATATGTGCTGAAAACATTGTTTTCAAATTGAATTTTGGTAAACTGAACCACTGTTTCAACTCATTGCAGATTCAATTTTAAATTGATATGGTGGGAAACACCCATTTTGAAGGTACTTTAATATTCTCATTTCTTGAAGCTTGCTCTAAGAACTCAAGAAAAACAATACCCAGAAAATAGGAGGCATTGGGAAGCCAGCTAGATTGTGGGAACGATAAATCATTTAGCAGAATTGGGACATCCTTCCTAAGTGTTCCACAGCTGTGGATACTGCCAAAAAGTGAGTTATTTTCCCAGAATAATTCCAGGGAAAGCTCAAAAATTGGAACCAGACTGGGTGTGGTGGCTCATGCCTGTAATCCCAGCACTTTGGGGGACTGAGGGGAGTGAATCACTTGAGGTCAGGAGTTCGACACCAGCCTGGCAAACATGGCAAAACCCTGTCTCTACTAAAAGCACAAAAATTAGCTAGGTGTGGTGGCAGGCACCTGTGATCCCAGCTACTCAAGCAGCTGAGGTGGGAGAAAGAATCTCTTGAACCCGGGAGGTGGAGGTTGCAGTGAACCAAGATCACACCATTGTACTCCAGCCTGGGCAAAAGAGCTAGACCCTAGCTCAAAAAAAAAAAAAAAAAAAAAAAAAAAAAAAAAAAAAAATTGGAACCATCTGATTCCAGGGAAGGCAAGTTGGGAGAAAAGAACTGAAATCAAAAATATCATCTGAGTGTCAACTTATGGAATAATAGGTAATCTAGGTTTTCACGCTTCTTACCCTCTCTCCAATCATGTAGGCAGGCAATTAACACTCATTCACCTCTGGAAACATGATTTATTCTCTGGAGAAACTGAACCACAAACAATCTAGGCATGAAGGATATGTGGCTTTCTTCTAAATATAAATGGGAACCAAAATTATTCAATTACATTTTGACCAATGAGACATTTTATAGCTTCATCTCTTCCTTTTGTCTCAGGGGAAAAATGGAAAACATGCATATTTATTTACACAATGATTTCAGTAGTGCAAATAAATGTCAAGTATTTTTACTTTTTTATTTTAAGCAAACTTTAATTAAATTCATGAGGGTTTGTTGTACAGATTATTTCATCACCCAGGTTTTAAGCCTAGTACCCATTCATTATTTTTCCTGATCCTCTCCCTCCTCCCACCCTCCACCTTCAGGAAGACCACAGTGTGTGTTGTTTTCTATGTGTCCATGTATTCTCATCATTTAGCTCCCACTTATAAGTGAGAACATGTGGTATTTGGTTTTCTCTTCCTGCATTAGTTAGCTAAGGACAATGGCCTTCAGCTCCTTCCATGTCCCTGCAAAAGACGGGATCTCATTCTTTTTATGGCTGCATAGTATTCCATAAAGTATACATAGCACATTTCCTTTATCCAGTCTACCACTGATGGGCATTTAAGTTGATGCCTTGTCTTTGATATCGTGAGTAGTGCTGCAATGCATTTGTCTCTATAATAGAATAATTTATATTTCTTTGGGTATATACCCAGTAAAGGGATTGCTGTGATGAATGGTATTTCTGTCTTTAGGTCTTTGAGGAATTGCCATATTGTCTTCCACAATGGTGGAACTAATTTATATTCCCACTAACAGTGTATAAATGTTCCCTTTTCTCCACAACCTTGCCTGATATTTTTTGACTTTTCAACAATAGCCATTCTGACTGGTGTGAGATGGTATATGATTGTGGTTTTGGTTTGTATTTCTTTAATGATCAGTGATGTTGAACTTTTTTTCATATGCTTGTTGGCAGCATGTATGTCTACCTTTGAGAAATGTCTGTTCATGTCCTTTGTCCACTTTCTTTCTTTCTTTTTTTTTTTTGACGGAGTCTTGCTCAGCCACCCAGGCTGGAGTGCAGTGGTGCGATCTCAGCTCACTGAAACCTCCGCCCCCCAGGTTCAAGCGATTCTCCTGCCTCAGCCTCCCGAGTAGCTGGGACTATAGCCATGCACCACCATGCCCAGCTAATTTTTGTATTTTTAGTAGAGACGGGGTTTCACCATGTTGGCTAGGATGTTCTCGATCTCTTGACCTCGTGATCCGCCCGCCTTGGCCTCCCAAAGAGTTGAGATTACAGGCGTGAGCCACCACGCCTGGCCCTTTGCCCACATTTTAATGGGATTATTTGCTTTTTTTGTGTAAATTTGTTTAAGTTCCTTGTAGATGCCGGATATTAGACCTTTGTTAGATGCATAGTTTGCAAAAATTTTCTCCCATTCTGTAGGTTGTTTACTCTGTTGATAGTTTCTTTGGCTGTGCAAAAGCTCTTTGGTTTAATTATACTTCATTTGTCAATTTTTGTTTTTGTTGCAATTGCTTTTGGCATCTTTGTCATGAAATCTTTGCTCGTGCCTATGTCTGGAATAGCATTGCCTAGGTTGTCTTCTGAGTTTTCATAGTTTTGGGTTTTACATTTAAGTCTTTAATCCATCTTGGGTTAATTTTTGTATATGGTGTATGGAAGGGTTCCAGTTTCTATCTTCTGCAATATGGCTAGCCAATTCTCCCGACACCATTTATTGAATAGGAAATCTCCCTGTTGCTTGTTTTTGTCAGGCTTATTGAAGATCAGATAGTTATAGGTGTGCAGTCTTATTTCTGGGTTCTCTATTCTGTTCCAATGGTTCTTTCTATGTGTCTGTTTTTTCTATCAGTACCATGAAAAACTCTTACTGTAGCCCTCTACTATAGTTTGAAGTTGGGTAGCATGACGCCTCCAGCTTTGTTCTTTTTGCTGAGGATTTCTTTGGCTATTTGGGTTCTTTTTTGGTACCATATGAATTTTAAAACAGTTTTTTCTAGCTCTGTGAAGAATATCAACCACTGAGATGATCACATGGTTTCTGCTCTTCATTCTATTAATGGAGTGTATTACATTAATTCATTTTCATTTGTTGAACCAGCTTTGCATTCGAGAAGCAAATACCACCTGATAATTGTGTATCATTCTTTTGATATGCTGTTGAATTTAGTTTGCTAATATTTTGTTGAGTATTTTTATGAGTGCTCATCAATTATCGATTTGTAGATTCCTTTTCTTGTAGTGTCTATGGCTGGCTTTGGTAGCGGGAGACTGATGACCTCATAGAATGAGCTTGGAAGTATTTCCTTCTCTTCAATATTTTCAAGTGTTAGAGGAGGGATGGTGATAATTTTTCTTTAAATGTTTGGTAGAATTCTTCTGTGAAGCCAACTGGTCCTGGACTTTTCTTTGTTGGGAGTTTTTTGACTACTGATTCAATCTCCATACTAGTTGTTAGTCTGTTCAGATTTTCTATTTCTTGAGGACAAATCTTGGCAAATTTTGTGTTCCAGGGATTTATTCATTTCTTCAAGGTCATCTAATTTATTGGTGTATAATTGTCCATTGTATTCTCATATGATTCTTTGTATTTCTATGGCATCAGTTTTAATGACCCTCTTTTATTTCTGATTTTAGTTATTTCAGTCTTCATTTTTTTCTTAGTTAATCTCGCTAAAGGTTTTTCAATTTTGATGGTCTTTTCAAAAAAACCAATTCTTTACTTTGTTGATTTTTTTAATGTTCTCTATTTCCTTTATCTTTCTTCTAAATTGTATTTTTCCTTCCTTTTGGTAGTTTCAGATTTAGTTTGTTCTTTTCCAAATTCTCTGAAATGTAAAGTTAGATTATCAATTCAAGATTTTTCTTCTTTAATATATTTTTTTATGGCTATAAACTTCCTTCTTAGCACAGCTTTCAATGCATCCCATGAAATTTTGTATGCTATATTTTCATTTATATTTATTTCAAGGCATTTTAAAAATTTCCCTTGTAACTTCTTCCTTGACCCATTGGTTGTTTAGGAGTGTGCTGTTTAATTTCCAATATTTGTGAATTTTCCAGTTTTCCTCTTGCTATTGATTTCTAGTTTCATTCCATTGTAATAAGAAAAGATGCTTTGTATGAGTTCAATCTTGAATTTCTTGACTTATTTTGTGGGCTAATATATGCTTTTTATTGGAGAATGTTCCATATGAACTTGAGAACAATGTGTATACTGCTGTGGTTGTGTGGAGTGTTTTGTATGTATCTGTTAGGTACAATTAATCTTCAGTATTATTCAAGTTCTCTATTTCCTATTGATCTTCTGTCTGATTGTTCTATCCATTACTGAAAGTAGAGTATTGAGGTCTCCTGCTATAAGTTTGTTGCTATTTATTTCTCCCTTCAGTTCTGTCAGAGTTTGCTTCATATATTTAGGAATTCTGAGGCTTGGTGCATAAATATTTATAATTTTTAAATCTTCTTGGTAAATTCACCATTTTGTCTTTACATAATATTCTTTTTTGGTCTCCTATAAATGTTTTTGCCTTGCTATTTTGTTTAATGTTAGTACAGCCACCCCTGCTCTCTTTTGTTTCCATTTTCATTGAAAATCATTTTCCATTTTTTCTCTTTCAATGTGTGTGTTTAGATTTAAGGTGAATATCTTGTAGTCAGCATATGGTTAAACTCTATTTTTTTTTTAAATGCATTTAGCCAGTCTATGTCTTTTGATTGGGAAGTTTAGCCCATTACATTTACCAATAGGGAAAAACCTACTATTGCCATTTTGTCAATTATTTTCTGTATTGTCTGGTAGTTTTTTATACTTTCTCTCTGGTTTTACCCTGCCTTCTGTTGTGTTTTCTTGATTTTTTTTGTAGTGATATGCCTTGATTATCTTCTAATTTCCTTTTTTTGGGTATTCTATAGATGTTTTCTTTGTGGTTGCTATTATAATTATATAAACATCTCAAAATTATAGCCGTCTATTTTAAACTGCTAAAAATTTAACTTCAGTTACGTGCAAAAACTACTTCTTTTACAGCTTCACTTTGCCATTTTGTTATTGATGTCACAAATCACATCTTTATGTATTGTGTGTTCATTAACATAGGTTTAACTTTTTATATTTTTGTCATTTAAATTCTATGCAGCAAAATTATAATAATACAGGTTACTATATGTGTCCATCCACTTACCTTTACTGGTAAGATATATATATTATATATATGTTTATGTTCTTTAATACTAGCAATAAGAGATTAGAAATTAAAATTAATAAAGTGCCAATTGTAACAGCAACAAAAATCATTAAATACTTATGAATAAATCTTGCAAAATATGCAGAATCTCTGCAGAAAATAACAAAATACTGACAGAAGGATTAAAATAAATAAATGGGGAAATATATTGTGTTTATTGAGTGGGAGATTTAGAATTTTAAGTACCAATTCTCTTCAAGTTGATCTATAGATTAAACACAATCACAACTAACATTCAGGAATATTTTTGATAGAAATTACCAGATTGAATCTAAAATGTATTTGGGTAAGCAAAGTAATTAGAATAACCAAAACAATTTTGTGTTAGTTTTAAAAAATCACTTAGATGAGAGATAATTGACATGTGAAAAGCTGTACATATTTAATATATATTACTTGATGAATTTGGGGATAATCATACACCTTTGAAACAATAATCACCATCAAGTCCGTAAACATATCTTTTTCCTCCCAAAGTTTCCTCCGTTCACCTTTATTATTAGTACTACTACTACTAATACTATTGTTGTGTACGGTAAGAGCACTGAACATAAGATCTACCCTCTTAGCAAATTTCAAGTATTTATACTCTAATGTTAGATAAAGGCACTAACTCTATAGTAGTAGATCCCAAGAACTTGTTTATCTTTCATAATTGAAACTTTGTACCTTTGATCATGACCTCCTTCTTTCCCCCTCCCCCATCATTGTACACTCTGCTTCTTTGAGTTTGGCTATTTTAAGTCACATATATAAGTGAGATCATGGAATATTTTTCATTTTGTGTCTTACATCTCACTTAGCAGTGTTCTCCAGGTTCATCCATGTTGTTGCAAATAGCAGGGGATTTTTTTCTTTTTTAAGACTGAATAATATTCCATTACACACACACACACACACACACACACACACACACACACCACATTTGTAAAATCTGTTCATCTGTCAATGGACATTTACATTATTTCCATATCTTGGCCATTGTGAATAATGCTGAAATGAGCATGGGAGTGCAGATATCTCTTTGACATACTGATTTAATTTCCTTTGGATATATACCCACTAGTGGAATTGCTGGAACATATGGTAGATCTATTTTTAATTTTTGAGAATCTACATACTGTTTTTCATAATTGCTGTAGCAATTTACATACTCACCAACAAGCATTCCTGTTTTTCAATATCCTTGCCAATACTTATCTTTTGTCTTTTTAATAATAGCCATCCTAAAAAGCATGGAGTGATATCTTAGTGTGGTTTTGATTTGCATTTTCCTGATAATGAGTGATGTTGAGTACCTTTTTATATACTTGTTGATTATTTGTATGTCTTCTTTGGACAAATGTCTGTTCATGTCCTTTGCCCAATTTTTTATCAGGTTTTTGTTCTATTACTGTTTAGTTATATAAATTCCTTTTATATTTTATATATTAACTCTTTATCAGATATATGGTTTGCATATATTTTCTTCTATTCTGTACATTGACTTTTCAAGGCTTTGCTTATTTCCTTTCATGTGCAGAAATTTGTAGTTTGATGCAATCCTATTTGTCTTTTTATTTGTTGCTTTTGTTAACTGTGCTGGGGTGGGGGAAGGGGGGAGGGATAGCATTTGGAGATATACCTAATGCTAAATGATGAGTTAATGTGTGCAGCACACCAACATGGCACATGTATACATATGTAACAAACCTGCATGTTGTGCACATGTACCCTAAAACTTAAAGTATAATAAAAAAAATTCACTGCCAATATCAATGTTAAGAAGCTTTTTCCTTTTCCTCTGGGCCTTAAGTTTAAGTCTTTTATTTATTTTGAGTTTTTTTTTTTTTTTTTGTATGGTGAAAGATAAGGGTACAATTACATTTTTTTTCATGAGGACATCCAATTTTTTCTTCCTTTGTACAGTTATTTTTGTTTCCCTTTGTAATTCATTTCTTGTTAAGGAAATCTCTGCCTATTCTAAAATCATGAGGAAAGGTTTCTGTTTTTTTCCACCTAGTTTTTTTTAATTGTCCCATTTTCACATATAGATGTAGAGGGTATCTGGAATAGATTTTCATATAATGTAAGGGTAAAAATGTATGTTTATATGGCCATCTGATGGACTCATTATGGACAAAATCTCGATCTTTTCCTTACTGCTCTGCAGTTTTACATTGGCCATAAATCTAATGACTGAATACATGTGGATCTTTTTGTTTACTTTCTATTAAAGTTTATTGACCTGTTTTTCTATACTTGTACAATGCCACACTGTCTTAATTACTGTGGCTTTTTAATAAACCTTGATATCTAGTAGTGTAAGTCATTCAGCTTTATTCATCTTCTTTAAGATTTTCTTGGCTATTCTTTCTTTCTTTTCTTTTCTTTTCTTTTTTTTTTTTGAGACGGAGTCTTGCTCTGTTGCCAGGGCTGGAGTGCAGTGCTGAGATCTCAGCTTATTGGAACCTCTGCCTCCCAGGTCCAAGCCATTCTTTCTCCCTCCTCAGCCTTCTGAGTAGCTAGGATTACAGGTGCCCACCATCATGCCCAACTAATTTTTGTATTTTTAGTAGAGATGATGTTTCACCATGTTGGTCAGGCTGGTTTCAAACTCCTGACCTCAGGTGATCCGCCCATCTTGGCCTCCCAATGTCTTGGGTATTCTTGATCCTTTATATTTCTTATAAATTTTAGGAATATCATCCACTTTTACAAAAATTTTTTTGAACTTTGATTGGAATTTCATTAAATCTATAGATTAATTTGAAAGTATTGATATCTTTAAAATAGTTGGCTTTCTAATCCATAATCATAGTATATAGTTTATCTTATTTAGGTCGGCCGTGGTGGCTCACTTCTGTAATCCCAGCACTTTGGGAGGTTGAGGTGGGCGGATCACCTGAGGTCAGGAGTTCAGGACCAGCCTGGCCAACATGGTGAAACCCCATCTCTGCTAAAAATACAAAATTAGCCAGGTGTGGTGGCACATGCTTGTAGTCCCACCTACTCAGGAGGCTGAACTGGGAGGACTGCTTGAGCCTGGGAGGCAGAGGTTTCAGTGAGACAAGATCACACCACTGCCCTCCAGCCTGGGCAACAGAGTGAGACTCTGTCTCAAAACTAAATAAATAAATAAATAAAATAATTTATCTTATTTATTATAATAGCTTTACTGAGCTATAATTAACCTAGCATACAATCTACATAAGTATACAATTCAGTAGTTTTTAATATATTCACAAACTTTTACAATAATCATAACTATCTAATTCTAGAATATTTTCATTACCCCAAAAGAAAACACACCCATTCATTACAGGTCATTTCCCATGACCCTCCATCTAGTCCCTGGAAACCCCAGTGTAATTTGTGTTTCTATCAATGCACTTGTTTTAAATATTCCATATAAATAAGATTCTATAATATGGCCTTTTGTAACTGGCTTCTTGTATTCAGCATAGTATGTCCAAGTTTCATTTATGCTGTAGCATGTATCAGAACTTTATTATTTTCATTACCAAATAATATCCTATTGTATAGATATATCACTTTTTTTTACACATTCATCAGGTGATAGGCATTTGGGTTTTATTCACTTTTTGGTTACTATAAAAAATGCCAAGATATATATCTATGTGTAAGTCCATGAAAACATGAACACTTGTTTTCATTTCTCTTGAATATATGTCTAAGAGTGGAATTGTTGAGTCAAATGTTTTTATTTGCTTTGATTTTTAATTTTTATCAATATTATTTTATACTTTTAAAAACAACATTTGTGTGTATCTTTTATTATATTTATCCTTAAGTATTTTGATATTTATCATGACTATAATCCCAGCAGTTTGAGAGGCCAAGGCAGGTAAATCACTTGAGGTCAAGTGTTTGAGACCAGCCTGGCCAACAAGGCAAAACCCTGTCTCTACTGAAAATATAAAAATTAGCAGGGCATCATGGCACATGCTTGTAATCCTAGCTACTCGGGAAGATGAGGCACAAGGATTGCTTGAACCTGGGAGGCGGAGGTTTCAGTGAGCCAAGATCATGCCACTGCACTCCAGCCTGGGCCACAGAATGAGACTCCATCTGAAAAAAAAAAAAAAGATGATGTTGGTATCTTGATAGTTTTATTTATTTTCTTTCTTTCTTTTTTTCTTGCCTTATTGCACTGTCCTGGTCTTCTTTACAACATTCAATAAAATTGGTAATAGTGGGTATCAATATTTAATTCACAATCTCCAGAGTAATCTCAAATTTTCAACAAGTATGGTTATGATTAAAAATTGTTTCTCTACTCTACTTTTTAGTATGCTGATTTCTAAAAACTCATATTGTGTTAAATTTTATCAAATGATTATTGGAAAGATCTTGTATATTTCCTCCTTTATTCTCTTAATGTAGTGAATAACATTAATTTGATATATAATGTTAAACAAATCCGGCATTCCTGGAATAAAAGCAACTTGCCTGTGATGTGTGTTCTTTTTTGTATATCACTGGATGTGATTTGCTAATATTTTATTTAGAATTTTTACATCTGCATTTATTGGAGAAACTAACCTGTCATTTAACTTTCTTTTATTGTCTTATTTGGGATTTAGTATCAAGATTAATTTGGGAGGTGTTTTCAATTTTCCTGTTTTCTGAAAGATTTCATGTAATGTTGGACTTTTGTTCTTCTTTAAATCTTTGGAGGAATTTACTAGTCATCTGAGCCACGAGATTGCTTTGAGGGAAGAGTCTTAATTAGAAATTAATTTTTTGTAAATGTAGGACTATTTAGATTAATTTATTCTTATAATTTTAAGGTGCTATTTTTCAAGGCATTTCTTAATTTCATTTAATTTTTTTATTTATTGGCATAAGGTATTTTTTCTGTATCCTTACTATCACTTTATTATTTGTATGGTGTTTGTGATTTCTCTCTTTTCATTTCAGTCTTACTAGAAGTCAGTCGAATTTTTAGTGTTTTTAAGGCACTGATTTTTGGTTTTATTTATTTTTCTTTACTGTACATTTATTTTCTAGCTGATGAGGTTTTGATTCAAGTTTACTTATTACTTATATTTTTATTCTTTTGGTTTAATCCAGTGTTTTTGCCTTATTTTGTTTTGTTTAGCTTTTTGAGAGGTATGATGGGTTAGATTTTGTATCTCCAAAGAATATTCTGAGGTCCTAACTCCTGTATCTGTGAATGTGATCATATTTAGAAATAAAATATTTGCAGATGCAATTAAGATGAGGTTGTTGGTGGGGCGGGGGAGGGGGCGAATTCAATATGACTTGTTGTTATAAGAAGAAGAAAAGACACAGTCATACAGGGAGGACAGCCATGTGAAGACAGAGGCAGAGTGGAGTGATGTTGCCACAAGCCAAGAAATGCCTGGAACTACCAAAAGCTGAAATGAGGCCTGGAAGAATCCTCTCCTAGAGGCTTCAGAGGGAACATGGCATTGCTAATATCTTGGTTTAGGACTTCTAGCCTGCAGAACTGCGCCCATCTCTCTATCTATCTATGTATCTATATTCATCATGATCATCATGATCATCATGATCTATTCAAATCAGTAAGATATTCCATGAAGGCAGGGATCACTTTCTGTTTGGTTAATTGCTGTTTCCAGGGCATAGAAAGTCCCTTCTACAGAGTAAGTACGTTTAAATATTCAAATTTTAAATTTCAAAAAAAATGGTTTGGGGAGAACAGGAGGTGTTCGGTTACATAAATAAGTTTTTAGTGGCGATTTCTGAGACTTTGGTGCACCCACTGCCCAAGCAGTATACACCGTACCCAATGTGTAGTCTTTTATCCCTCAACCCCCTTTCACTCTTCCCCAAAGTCCATTGTATCATTCTTATATCTTTGCACCCTCATAGCTTAGCTCCCACTTATAAGTGAGAACATGTAAGGTTTGTTTTTCCATTACTGAGTTACTTCACTTAGAATAATGGTCTCCAACTCCACCCAGGTTGCTGTGAATGCCATTATTTAATTCCTTTTTATGGGTGAGTAGTAGTATTCCATGGTGTGTGTGGATATATAACATTTTCATTCTCCACTCGTTGATTTATGGGCATTTGGGCTGGTTCCATATTTTGGCAATTGTGAATTGTGCTGCTATAAACACGTGTGTGAAGGTGTCTTTTTCATATAACGGCTTCTTTTTCTCTGGGCAGATACCCAGTAGTGAGATTTCAGGATCAAATGGTAGATCTACTTTTAGTTCTTTAAGGAATCTCCACAGTGTTTTCCATGGTGGTTGTACTAGTTTACATTCCCACCAGCAGTGTAAAACTGTTCCCTTTTCACCACATCCAAGCAAACATCTATTATTTTTTGATTTTTTAATTATGACCATTCTCGCAGGTGTATGATGGCATCACATTGTGGTTTTAATTTGCATTTCCCTGATCATTAGTGATGTTGAGAATTTTTTCATATGTTTGTTGGCCATTTGTATATCTTCTTTTGAGGATTGTCTATTCATGTTCTTGGCCCACTTTTTGATGATACTACTTTTTTTTTTCTCACTGATTTGTTTGAGTTCCTTGTAGATTCTAGGTATTAGTTGCTTGTCAGATGCATAGTTTGTGAAGATTTTCTCCCATTCTGTGGGTTGTCAGTTTACTCTGCTGATTCTTTCTTTTGCTGTGCAGAAGCTTTTTAGTTTAATTAACTCCCATCTATTTATCTTTTTTTTGTCCTGATCATTAGTAATGTTGAGAATTTTTTCATATGTTTGCTGGCCATTTGTATATCTTCTTTTGAGAATTGTGTATTCATGTCCTTGGCCCACTTTGTGATGATATTACATGTTTTTTTCTCGCTGATTTGTTTGACTTCCTTGTAGATTCTAGATATTAGTCCTTTGTCAGATGCATAGTTTGTGAAGATTTTCTCCCATTCTGTGGGTTGTCTGTTTACTCTGCTGGTTCTTTCTTTTGCTGTGTAGAAGCTTTTTAGTTTAATTAAGCCCTATCTATTTATCTTTGTTTTTGTTGCATTTGCTTTTGGGTTCTTGGTCATGAAATGTTTGCCTAAGTCAATGTCTGGAAGAGTTTTTCCAATGTTATCTTCTAGAATTGTTATGCTTTCAGGTCTTAGATTTAAGTAGTTGATCCATCTTGCGTTGATTTCTTTGTAAGGTGAGAGATGAGAATCCAGTTTAATTTTTCTACATGTGGCTTGCCAATTATCCCAGCATCATTTGTTAAATAGGGTGTCCTTTCCCTACTTTATGTTTTTGTTTGCTTTGTTGAAGATCAGTTTGCTGTAACTATTTGACTGTATTTCTGAGATTTCTATTCTATTCCATTGGTCTATGTGCCTATTTTTATACCAGTACCATACTGTTTTGGTGGCTATAACCTTGTAATATTATTTGAAGTCAAGTCATATGATACCTCCAGATTTGTTCTTTTTGCTTAGTCTTGCTTTGGTCGTGCAGACTCTCTTTTGGTTTCATATAAATTTTAGATATGTTTTTTCTAGTTCTGTGAAGAATGATGATGATATTTCAATGGAAATTACATTGAATTTGTAGTTTGCTTTTGGCAGTATGGTCATTTTCACAATATTGATTTTACATATCCATGTGCATGGGATGTGTTTCCATTTGTGTCATCTATGATATCTTTCAGCAGTGTTTTGTAGTTTTCCTTGTAGAAGTCTTTCACCACCTTGGTTAGGTATATCCCTAAGTATTTTATTTATTTTGCAGCTATTGTAAAATGGGTTGAGTTCTTGATTTGATTCTGAGCTTGGTCGCTGTTGGTGTATAGCAGTGCTACCAATTTGTGTACATTGATTTTGTATCCTGAAACTTTACTTAATTTGTTTATCAGGTCTAGGAGCTTTTTGGATGAGTCTTTAGGGTTTTCTAGGTATATGATCATATCATCAGCAAAAAGTGACAGATTGACTTCCTCTTTGCTGATTTGGATGCCTTTATTTCTTTCTCTTTTCTGATTGCTCTGGCTAGGACTTCCCATCCTCTGTAGAATAGAAGTGGTGAGAGTGGGCATCCTTGTCTTCCTCCAGTTCTCAGGGGAAATACTTTCAACTTTTCCCCAATCAGTATAACATGGCTATACGTTTGTCATAGATGACTTTTATTACCTTAAGGTATGTCCCTTCTATGTCAGTTTTGCTGTGGGTTTTAATCATAAAGGAATGCTGGATTTTGTCAAATGCTTTTTATTTTTCTGTTGAGATGATCTTACGATTTTTGTTTTTAATTGTGTTTATGTGATGTATCACATTTATTGACTTGCAGATGTTAAACCATCCCTGCATCCCTGGTATGAAACCCACTTGATCATGGTGGATTATCTTTTTGATATGCTGTTGGATTTGGTTAGCTTGTATTTTGTTGAGAATTTTTGCATCTATGTTTGTCAGGAATATCGGTCTGTAGTTTTTTGGTTGTTGTTGTTATGTTCTTTTCTGGTTTTGGTATTAGCGTGATACTGGCTTCATAGAATGATTCAGGGAGGCTTTCCTCTTTCTCTGGCTTTTGGAATAGTTTCAATAGGATTTGTACCAATTCTTCTTTAAATGTCTGATGGAAATCAGCTGTGATTCCATCTGTTCCTGGACTTTTTTTTTTGTTGTTGGCAATGTTTTTTTGTAACCATTTTAATCTTGCTGCTTGTTGTTTGTCTGTTCAGAGTATTTCTTCCTGGTTTAATCTTGGAGGTTTGCATATTTCCAGGAATTTATCCATCTCCTCTAGGTTTTCTAGTTTGTGTGTGTAAAGGTATTCATAGAAGACTTGAATGATCTTTTGTATTTCTGTGTTATTGGATTTAATATATCCCGTTATGTTTCTGGTTGAGCTTATTTGGATCTCCTCCCATTTTTTCTTGGTTATTCTTGCTAATGGTCTATCAATTTTGTTTATATTTTCAAAGAATCAGCTTTTTGTTTTATTTATCTTTTGTATTTTTTTGTTTCAATTTCATTTAGTTCTGCTCTGATCTTTGTTATTTCTTTTTTTTTTTTTTTTTTCTGCTGGGTTTGGGTTTGGTTTGATCTTATTTCTCTGGTTCCTTGAAGTGTGACCTTAGACTATCTATATGTGTTCTTTCAGACTTTTTGATGTAGGCATTTAATGCTATGAACCTTCCTTTTAACATCGCTTTTGCTGTATCACAGAAGTTTTCATAGGTTGTGTTATTGCTATCATTCAGTTCAAGTAATTTTGAAATTTCCATTATAATTTCATTGTTTACCAAAATATAATTCAGGAGCAGATTATTTTATTTCAATGTATTTGCATGGTTTGAGGATTCCTTTTGGAGTTGATTTTTAATTTTATTCCACTGTGGTCTGAGAGCATATTAATATAATTTTGATTTTCTTAAATTTATTGAGGCTTGTTTTGTGCCTATCATATGATCTACCTTGGAGAATGTTCCATGTGCTGATGAATAGAACATATATTCTGCAGTTGTTTGGTAGAATGTTCTGAATATATCTGCTAAGTCCATTTGTTCTAGGGCATAGTTTAAGTCCATTGTCTGACTTGTTTTTGATGACCTGTCTAGTGCTGTCAGTGGAGTATTGAAGTCACCCACTATTATTGTGTTGCCTCTTATCTCATTTCTTAATTCTAGGAGTAATTGTTTTGTAAATTTAAAGCTCCAGTTTTAGGTGCATATGTATTGAGGATTGTAATATTTTCCTGTTGGACTAGTCCTTTTATTATTCTATAATGTCCCTCTTTGTCTTTTTAAATTGTTGTTGCTTTAAAGTTGGTTTTGTCTGATAAACGAATAGCTACTTCTGCTTGTTTTTGGTGTCCATTTGCATGGAATATCTTTTTCCATCCATTTACCTTACATTTATATGGGTCTGTATGTGTTAGGTGAGTCTCTTGAAGACGCAGATACTTGACTGGTGAATTCTTATCCATTCTGTCATTTTGTATCTTTTAAGTGGAGCATTTAGGCCTTTTACATTCGATGTTATTATTGAGATGTGAGGTACTGTTCTATTCATCCTGCTAGTTGTTGCCTGACTACCTTGTTTTTTTTTTTGTTTGTTTGTTTTTGTTTGTTTTTTATTGCTGGTGAGCTTGTGTGATCATTTGGGGTGTCAATGAATCTTGCTTTGTCATATCATCAGAATTGTTTTTCTGGTTCCTTCTCATTTGGGTAGACTATTTCAGAGGAAAGATCTGGGACTCAAGGGCTGCTAATCTGATTTTTTTTTCCTATGGGGTGATCCCTTGATGTGGTGTTCTTTTTCTTCCCCTAGAAATGGAGCTTCCTGAGAATAAAACTGCAGTGATTGTTATTGTTCTTCTGTGTCTAGTCCCCCAGTGGAGCTACTGGGCTCTGGGCTGGTATTGGGGAGTGTCTGCAAAGATTTCTGTGATGTGATCCTGTGAAGACCTGTCTTCAGGTCTCTCAGCTGTGGATGCCAGTACCTGCCCCAGTGGAGGTAGCAGGGAAGCAAAGTGGACTCTGTGAGAGTGCTGGTTGTAGTTTGTTTAGTGTGCAGATTTTCTCGAATGCTGGTTTGCTAGCAGTGAAGCTGTCATGTGGACAGACTCAGGACCTCTGGTTAGCCAGGGTGTTACAGGTGGTGTTTTCTCCTTTCTTGGAGTAGGATTGTTCTAAGTTGCTGTAATGGCTTGAGTTGGTTGACTTCCAGCCAGGAGGTGGCACTTTTAAGAGAGCATCAGCTGCGGTAGTAGAAGGGGGATACAGGCTTGCCCTAAGTTGGCCAGGGTAAATATTCAGTCGTCTCAGGTAATAGGTGAGGCCATAGAGCTCCCACAAGTTTATATCTTTTGTCTCTGGTTACCAGGAAGGGTAGAGAAAACCATCAGGTGGGGGCAGGGTTAGGCAGGTCTCAGCCTAGACTCTCCTTGGGCTTGCAGTGGCCACTTTGAGGGATATGGGGTGTGTCTCAGGCCAATGGAGTTATGTTCCATGGGAGATTATGGCTGCCTCTGCTGCTTCCTACAGGTTGCCAGGTAAGTGGTGGAAAGCCATCAGTGACAGGCCTTACCCAGCTCCCATGAAACCAGCAAGGCCAGTCTCATTCCTGCCATACTCCCCCAGCAGCCAACAGTGCCCAATTTATACCCAGGCCTCTGGTGCACAGGGCTGAGATCCTGCCCCAGGCTACAAGACTCCCTGCTGAGAGAGCAAGCATGGCTTTCAGTCCTCACCCTTCCCTTCCTGTTGCGGCTTCTGTGCTCCTATCTGTACTTCCCGTTCCCCACACCCCAACCCCCTGGACTCTGCCCAGGAAAATTTGTCGTCTTTGGAAATTATTACAAAGTTCAGCTGGAAGTCTCCTTCTCCCTGTGGACCTTCCCCAATTCCACTGGCTGCCCTCCTCAAGGACCCCTGTGAGATAAATTCAGAAATGGCTATCCTTGGCTTCCCTGGGGAACAAGAGTGCCTGCAGTTCTTTTCCCACTTCTTTTACTTTTCTATTTCACTGGGCTCTCTAAATTCATTTCAGCTCTAGGTAAGGTTAAACTCTTCTCCCGTCTTCTGGATTTTCAGGTTCTCCAGGGCCGATGTATGTTTGGAGATGGATTTCCCCCTCTCACACTTCAGGCACTCAGTTTTTTGGCAGTCTCATGGAGTTTTCAGTGGCAAGCCGCTTATTTCAAATGGTCTGTGAATTCTTTTGGTTTTTCTGATATGTTCCTGGTGTGATTCTTCACCAATTTTATCTCGAATTATATTTTATTCTACATTATGATTGCTATTATTTCCTTATTTTTCTTTGTATTTATGATATATTTCTGCCATTTAAAAAATTTCTTACTACTTCTCTGACATTTGACTTTTGGTCTTTTTCTATTAAGTAAAGATTTTAAAATAATGTTTTAATTTGAGAAACTTTAGTTTTTAATTGAACTACTAAAACGTTTTACACTAATTATATTATTCTTTCTGATCTTGTCAGAGATTCTCTATTTTGCTCACCTATTTCTTTTCTAGCTGATGTTTATTATATTGACTATATTATTATTATTTTTTCTTTTAGGGATTTGGAAAGGATTCCGTGATGGTTAATATTGAGTGTCAACTTGATTGGATTGAAGGATGCAAAGTATTGTTCCTGGGTGTGTCTGTGAGGGTGTCACCAAAGGAGATGAACATTTGAATCAGTGAGCTGGGAGACACAAACCCATACTCAATCTTGGGGGACACCATCTAATCAGCTGCCAGTGCAACTAGGATAAAATCAGGCAGAGAAATTTGGAAAGACTAGACTGGCTGAGTCTTCTGGCCTTCATCTTTCTCCCATGCTAGATGCTTCCTGACCTCGAATATCAGACTCCAAGTTCTTTAGCTTTTGGACTCTTGGACCTTTGGCCACAGACGGAAGGCTGCACTTTTGAAGTTTTGGGACTTGGACTGGCTTCCTTGCTCCTCAGCTTACAGATGGCCTATTGTGGGACTTCACCTTGTGATTGTGTAAGTCAATACTCCTTAATAAACTCTGCTTTATATATATATCTATCCTATTAGTCCTGTCCCTCTAGAGAACCCTGACTAATACAGATACACAGAAAGTTCAATTTTCTAAATTTTAAGCATTTTAAAACTTACTTGGGTCTATTTTTCTCTCATCATCTATGAACAGAGTAAAACAGTAACTATTATCATTCACATCCCTCCAGCTCAGATGCTACATTTGGCATAATTTTCACATTACTATTTTTCCTTCACACTGTTTTGCTGATATAATCTCAGATTTCAGATCCAGGTTATTATTAATTATTAGCTTAATATTTTGTATTTTTATCTTGTAAGTACTACATTTGAAATTTTAAAGCTAATCACTCTATAGAGCTAAGAATTCTATTTGCTGAGTTATTTATATTTATTTCTTAGTTGACTTAAGTGACTAGTCAAATAGTTTTTTTCACAAAGAATTTTATATGACATTGCCTCTCAGTCTAGTGTATCTAAAAACAACTTTCTGTCGCTCTAGCATATAAATATGAGCTTTTCTAACTAAAATGCCTTGGATCTCAATCTTTTCTGCCCAAAGCTCTGTAAACCTTTGTTTTTCTTAGCATTTAATATTGCAAATAAAGTCTGATCTACAGACATTCTGTTTTTTTGTTCCTTTATGGTTCATGGGATTATTTCATACGACAGAAATGTATTCTGAGGGGTACTGGAATATATCACTTCAAAATAAGCCTCTTTGGAATACAATTTTTTTTTATTTTTATTTTTTTTTGTTAAAGGCCACTGAGAAAACTTCTGCCTATTTGTCTCTAATTAATCTGTCTTTGGCTAGTCTAATTCACAGGGCCTCTGCTGGAGAACCTAAGATGAGTAGAGGAAATGATTTGTTGTTTTCCTCTCCTGAAATACCTAACTGTGGGTGTTTATATTAGCAATGATTTTTATCTTCACATTTTTTTCCTGATCTTAGATTGTTTCTTCCATAACATTACACTCCTCATATTAATCTTTTTCAAGGGAATGATAGAGAAATTTATCACAACAGCTGTTTATTTTATTCACTAGCTCAGGCAAAAAGAGCTCGTCCAGGCTCTCTGATTGTCTTGACCATCACCAGACAGATAAGGTGCCCTAAGTTTTGGAGTGGAAGGGTCACTGTAAGCTACCCGCCTACTTTCCATAAGTGCTGATGTTCCACAGGTAGGACAAAAGTGAGTTGGTCCTTTAGGCTTCCATCAAATCTTCGACATGGGCACAGATGCTCCTTGACTTACAATGGGGTAACATCTGGATGAATCCATCATAGGTCAAAAGTATCATTAGTCTAAACGCATTTAATACACCGATAAACCCATCTTAAAGTCAAAAAACCATAAGTCAAACCATCGTAAGTTGGGACCAGTCTATGTAGGATCTAGCAGATTATTTTAACTTTCTATATGTGGATGATATTCTTCACAGTTTCCAGAGCTGATGCAAACTTCCTGTTGTTTTGATATTTGGTCAGCCATTTCCAGCTACAAATATGGGAACTCGGGAGGATCTGTGCTCTAATCTTCAGTCTACCATACTCCCAGCACTTTAGGGGTCTTAAGTCTGATAAAGTTTTGAAAAGGAAAGAGAAAAGCTGCATTCTGTGCTCCTGAGACAGGGAAGCCCAGCGGAAATAAAATATCCAGGATGTGGAGCGGGCGAGATTGTGCACCATTAGTATGTAAAGCCTTGATTCAGATGGATGGTTAGGAGTACAGTGCCAATGAGAGAGAAAGAGAGAGAGAGAGAGAGAGAGAGAGAGAGAGAGAGACACCTCTGTTTGGACCGGGCATCTTTGCTGTTTGAAAGAAACCTTTCATCCAGACAGTTTGAGTCTGATCTTACCTCATTCTACTGGTGAGCTGTACTATGTCTTGCACAGTGCTGCCTCCCTTTTTTTCTGTGGCTCTTTGACACCCCCACCTCCCTGCCAGCCTGGTGTGGCTGATCAAGCTGTTCAAACAACTGGAAGACATCAGAAGTTAAACACTCATTATTTTAATTTGATGCTAATCATGTGTTAATGAGACTAATCCTTGCAATGATTCAGGTAATTTGCTTAATGGCTGCCCAGAGTACAGATTATAGCAATCAGTCACGTCTGATAAGATGTCTGTTGTGGAGGAGGCTGTCAGGTGAATGAAGTGGGAAAAGGCTCAGGAGTAAGGGTCTGATGTCAGGCATGTTCTGTGTTGGAGGGTAGGAGTTAAGGGAAGGAGACAGCTCAGAAATCCAAATTTTCAATGAGAAATGAACATCCTAGTGTTCTTGTTTAGAAGGAAGAAGTTGGTGTTGACAGGCTTTCTCATCTTATAGTGACACATACACACTGAGATAAGCATGACAGTTTGAAGAGAGTTGGATATACAGTTCATTTTGTTCTGGAGAAATCAGTACAATTATTAGTAGACATATTCCTACAACTATTAAATTGAGTTAAAAATCTTTTTTGCTATCAAAATGTCAAAGAAAAGATGAAACCACTCAGAGCAAAGGAAGATACATTTTTTTCTTCTCATCTTAGGAAATAGATGCTAAAATCAACATTCTAAACTGAAGCATTATTATGTTTATAGTATACTCAAGCATTGTAAGTCTATAGTCAGTCCTTCATATCCATGGGTTTTGTATCCATGTTTTCCATCAATCATGCCTTTGAAAATGTCAGAAAAAAAAGTACACCAGTAAAACTAACACAAAACAAAAAATGATACAGTATAGCAACTATTCACATAGCATTTACATTGTATTACATTTTATGAATAACCTGGAGATAATTTAAATTATAGGGGACAATGTGAGTTGGTTATATGCAAATACAATGCCATTTTATATAAGGTACTTAAGCATCACTGGTTTTTGTAATCTGCAGGGGCAGCGCAGGGTAGGACAGATGTCCTGGGACAATCCCTCACAGATACTGAGGGACAACTGAAGATACAGTCTCTGATGTGCTTAAACTAATCAGTTAGTCCTATGTTGGAGGCATGCCACCGTCTACAACTTTGCTGGATTGAATCATGATATATTTTTCAATAAAATATTGAAACTCAATAAATTATAAAATGTACAGATATAGAAATAACAAAACACTTCTAGAGTACATGTTCAAAAATTCTGCCGATTATTTGCTTTGCTTTAATTTATTTGTACTGATAGAAAATTTAAAATTTTATAGATTTATAAATCTAGATATCTGAATTGTTTCATTCCCATTCAGTATTTTGGTGAGGAGAGAAAAGTGAAAAAAAGGAGATAGATTCAGGCATGAAAAAGATTTGTAGTTTATTTTATGTTTAACTTAGTTGTTTTGATACATTCATGATACCCTCTTCTATCTTCTGTGGAATGCAATTTAGTTCAATGTAACAACATTTCTGTAGTATATCTTATCTTCAAGGAGGTGTTATTTAGTTTCTTTTGTTTCTTTATTTGTTTTGTGTTTTACAAAACAAGGGACAAGCATCTTTCTTGGGAGCAAAGAATGTGCCCATCTTATGACAGTGAGGGTAGGAATGGACAGGGAAGGAAAAATTGGAGTCAGCTGTTTGAGGACTAGATGTTCAGCTGCTCTAACTCAGAATGTGAATTTACAATAAGGATGTAGAGGAGATACCGTAACATGAGCATAGTATTTTGGATTGACATCAACAGGAGGATTACACATATGGGAGGGATCATAGCATCTAGGACATTTATAGATACAATTATATGTGAGCATTAGTCCTGTGAACCCAAGTTAACAGTTTTCCTTTTTCACCCTAGTTAAGAAGTTATTTTATCACCATAAAAGGCTTTCATGCACTATTTCATGCTACATAAGTGCAAATAAAATGCACTTGTATCAGTGACAATGATATGGATGAGACTGGTTTCATTTTTAAGAATCAAGATGATTGTTTTATAAGCATGTACCATAAAAAGAACAACCTGTGGTATGCTCTAGAATTTGAGAAGCTAATGCTTTTAAGGCAGGCAGACCATTGTTTTGGTAGCAGTTGTTTTTGTTATTATTTTTATCATTAATTATTATTATCAATCCCATTTTATCTAACAAAAGAGAATGGCTTATTTGGCTTGCTAATGATAAAATAATCTGCACAGAAGCAGGAGGTAAACCTCTCGAAACACTGAACTTTTACTGCATGGCTTCCTTATAGCACATTGCCTCTTCCATTAAGCTGAGGCAAGAAATATATAGAGGAAATGAAGTGAAAAATGCTAAACATCTGTATTTATGTAAGACAATAGAGTTAGAAGAGGATAAGATGATGCTTACATTGCTTCATGTATTGGAAAACTACTTATATAGTCATGATATAAGTGTTTTAGTACATTCAGGTTGCTATACAAAATATCATAAACTATATGGCTTATAAACAACAGAAATTTATTTCTTACACTTCTGGAGGGTAGGAAGTGCAATATGAGGGTGCCAACGTGGTCAAGTTCTGGTGAGGGCCCTCTTCCAGGTTGCAGACTACCAACTTCTCACTGTGTCCTCACAGGATGAAAGGAGCAAACTAGCTTACACTAATCCCATTCACAAGAGTTCTGCTTTCATGCCCCAGTCACCTCTAGAAGGCTCTAACTTCTTAAAGTTATCACATTGGGGATTAGGTTTCAGCATATGAATTTTGGGATGGAAAGGGCACAAAGGTTCAGGCTATAGCAGTAAGTTAGTTTTATTTACACAAACTATATCAAATACAGGTACCTCTTTAAACTGATCCTGGCTCTCTTTTCTCTGTAGTAACACAGTGTATCTTGGCATAATTGTTTTCATTCTTCCCTTTTATTTGAACTTTCGTGTCCTTCAGAAGTTAAGCTAAATGGAAAAATCCTTGAGAAGATACTTAAACTAGCCTACCAATTGTAGGGTATTTGGCCTCTGCTGTTGAAATCACTTTAGACATCTGTGTTTGTTTTTAGGAGGACTTTGACATAATACTTGTTAAGATATTGTGAAATTATACATTCTTTTTAGAAGTTATGCAGTTTGTAGGAGCATATTTTACAAGATTGTAAAATCTCATAATTATTTCATATCTGTGACAAATAACACAAATTATTGTTTTTTTCTTCATATCATCTTCCATGAAATTTAACGGACAGTGCAGTTTCACTTTAACACTAGGTTTTCAGAGTATTAGGATTTATCCAAACACTAAGTTGATTGAGAAAATGTCTCTTTGCCTCATCTATATTGCTAGGCTCTTGAAATTCTAAAGTGTGTTATTTTGCTTAAGTTAGGAATATATTACAAATGATATAAGAAATTTAGAAAATATTAGGAGGAAGAAAAGTTTTAGCCCCAGGTAAAGGGATAATTTTCTGTTTTGCTTTATTTGTGGCAACTTGGTCGGACTTATTTTTATTTCTAATTTTCAGGTTAAATATCAAATATTAAAATATTACTAAAATTATCGCCATTTCAAGACAAAATAATATGAATACATTATTGATATAAATAAATTAATGTGAATTTCTCACTTGCAATTATTGCATTTGCATCTATTTTGATTAATGTATCATGACCAAAATGATTTTTAGATTTTACCATCAAAACAATTTGGTAAAGGGATTCATACTCCTTTAGTAACTTAAAACCGACAAGAAAAAAAGGTGTTCAGTACTTGCTTTTTAAAAATAGCCTCCAATATAATAGATTTAATTTTTCCTATTCCTCTCACTAAATAAACAAAAACCCTGGAAATTATTTGCAAAACAAATAGAAGACTTTGAAATGTGGAGAAAGGAAGGCAGAGCAGTTAGGGACTTTGAGTCCCAAGGAAGTACATGGTGGTAAGTTTCATGTGAATGTATGTATGTAGGTAGGTATTTATTGCCTCGTATATCCTAGACTTGGACCTGAAGTAAACAGCAATCAAGAAACACAAATGGTACAAGACAAACAACAACAACAACAACAAAAACAACAAAGAAAAAACACCCAGCTCCAACAAAAGCCTTCTCTCTTTAGTTAATCCTGAAAAGGTGCTTAGCAGGATAACAAAAGTGTTTGAGAGAAAAGCTACTGTACTTCAGCTAAACACCATAGAAAAATCTGTGGCCCCACTCCACCCATACTAGCAAAGATCACATGGGGACCCTACACGGTCATTTTTGCCAAGATAAAACAAGTTACCCCAATTTTCTTGCTGGGGTGGTATAAGAGAAGGCTGAGTAGGAAGCCTATAATTTTGCTCTAATTTAACAGCAATGAGATGCTCATTCCCCCACTGACTTTCTCTACTGCCCGGCAGTAAGAAGGCAATCTCACTATCACTCCCATGTCTGGCCATCTGGGGAACAGTAGTGAGGCTCTCCTACCTCTCCCAGCCAGAGAAGTAACAGTGAAGGCTTAGTAGGATGTCAAACTCCCACCACCACCCAACGGCCAAAAGGGCTCCACCATTCCTTGTGTGCCAGTGAAGGCTGAGTGAGGAACCTGGACTTCTAACCCCATCTGGAAGTAATGAGGCAATCCCCTTCGCCTCTTCTCTTGCTGGAGTGGCATCAGAGAAAGCCAGCTAAAACAGAAAGTCTAAATAAAATATACAGTCTCATAACATATATCTAAAATGTCCAAGTTTCATTACAAAATTGTGAATCATACCAAGAACCAGAAAAATCTCAACTTAAATGTAATAAAAAATTAATAGACTCCAAAACCAAATGCTAGAGATCTCACAATTATCTAGCAAAAATTTTGAAGCAGTCACAATAAAAAAAAATCTTTAACAAGGAATTATGAACACACTTGAAGCAAATAAAATAAATGGAAATTCTCAATAAGGAAATAGAAGATATAAAGAAGAACTAGGTAAAAAATTTAGTGTTGAAAAATACAATAACCCAAATAAAAACATAAGTGGACTCAATAACAGAATAAAAGGATCAGAGGAAAGACTCATTGTACTTGAGGAAAGAACATTAGAACAACAGAAATGACCTGATGTGAATCACAGAGAAAAGAAGCTAAACAAAATAAAAAGAGCCTCAGAGTTCTGTGGAATTATAACAAGACATCTAAAATTTATGTAATCAGAGTCCTAGAAGGGGAGAAAAAAGTGGGTGGAATGGAACAAGTATTCAAAAATAACAGCTGAAAATTTTCCATATTTTGGGTAAAGATATGTACTTAAAGATTAAGAGGCTGAGTGTAACTTAAACAGGATAAATCTCTGAATAACTCCTATCAAGGCATATCATAAACAAATAGTTAAAAACTTAAGACAAGAACTAAAAATCTTGAAAGCATCAAGATCAAAATGTCACCTTATAGGGGAAAAAAACTAAAAAACTGACATTACAATGGTGTTCGCTTCAGAACCTGTGACAGAGGAAGTGGCACAACATTTCCATGTTTGTGTGCTGAAAGAAAAGAAAAGAAAATTCTATATTCTGTGAAAATATCTGCCAGAAACTGAAGAGAAATGAAAACATATTCAGGTAAAGGAAAACTACGAGTGTGTGACCACTAGGCTTGTGGTAAAAGTATGACTAGAGAAATCAATCAATCGATCAATCGATCAATCAATCATCTATCTATAGAATATTTATACAATATATACATATAATATATATATAGCATATATATACTACCTGGAGAAAACAGTAAAAAAGCTATACAAAGAGATTCATTCAAGTGGCATATAGATAAAATAAAAATAGAGTTTTAAAAAACTTCCAGTTTACCCTCAAAAAGGCAAGAAAAAGAAGAGAGTAACATTTTAAAAGAAACAGAAAGAACAACAGAATGAAAAATAAGATGCCAGACTTAAGCCTTAACATATAAATAATTACTTTAAATAGAAATAGTCTCAATATAACAATTAAAAGGTAGAGATTGGCAGAGTGAATTAAAAATACGAATCAACAATATGCTGCCTACATGAAACTCACTGCAAACATAACAGGATAGATAAGTTGAAAGTGAAGTAATGGAAAAAATCTGTATCATGTAATATGGTTTGGCTCTGTATCCCCACTCAAATTTCGTGTTCAACTGTAATCCACAGTTTTGGAGGTGGGGCCTGGTGGGTGGTGATTGGATCATGGGGGCACCTTCTGATGGTTTAGCATCATCCCCCTTGGTGTTGACGTGGCAAGAGGGAGTTACCAAGAGATCTGGTGATTGAAAAGTATGTAGCCTCCCCTTCTCGCTCTTCTCCCTGTCCTGGCCCCCTGTAAAGATGCCTGCTCCCACTTTGCCTTCTGCCATGAGTAAAGGTTTCCTGAGGCTTCCCCAGAAACCACTATGCCTCCTGCACAGCCTGCAGAACTGTGAGGCAATTAAACCTCTTTTTTAAATAAATTACCCAGTTTCAGGTATTTATAGCAATGAGAGAACAGACTAATACATCATGCAAACCTTAATCAAAATAAGGCAGGAATATTTCTATTTATTATAAGATAAAATGGACATAGCTGCAAAGAAAATTACCAGACACAGAAAGGGAGATTGCATAATGATAAAGAGGATCAACTTATCAAGAAGGTGTAGCAATTTTAAATGTATATAAACCAAACAATGGAGCTGCAAAATATGTGAAGCAAAAAAACTGCAGCTAAAATTACACTTTATAGTAAAAGACTGAATGCTTTCCCCAAGTCTATTAATAAGTGGGACTTATCTGCTGCCACCACTCTTATTCAGCATAGTATGGAAAGTTTTAACCACTGCAGGAAGGAAACAAAAGGAGAAGGAGTCATACAGATTAGAAAGAAATAAATAAAACTGTGCTTATTTGCAGATAGCATGGTCTATGTAGAAAATACAAAGTAATGTACAAAAAATTTCTAGAATTAATAAATGAGTTAAGCAAGATTGTAGAATACTAAGTTAACTTACAAAAATCAAATTTCTGTTTGCAATAGACGTCAGTACAGTAAAATTAAAAATACAGTTTTCTTTACAATTGCTCAAAAAATGAAATATTTTGGTGTAACTCTAACCAAAGATATGAAAGACTTGTATGCTAAAAATTTCATATCTCCTCCAATTGATATGCAGATTTAATGCTATTTCTATCAAAACATAACAATACTTTTATAGATATAGGTAAGATTATTTCAAAATTTATATGAAAAATGAAGAAACTAGAGTAGCCATAACAATTTAGAAAAAGTAGAATAAAATGGGAGAAAGCAGTCTACTTGATTTCAAGACTTATATGGCTACAGTAATCAAGACTGTGTGGTATTAGCAGAGGGATAGACACATAGAACAGTGGAACAGAATACAGAACCCAAAATATAGATCTATATAAATAAATGCAACTGATTTTTAACAAAATTGTAAAAGAAATACAATAGAAGAAAGATAGAGTCTCAACAAATCCATCAACAAAGATAGAGTCTCAACAAATAGTACTGGAGCTATTTAAAATCTCCAGCAAAAAAGAAAAAAAAAACTTCAATTTAAACCTCATCTGTAAACTGAAATAACTCAAAATAGATTATGGATTTAAATATAAAATGTAAAACTACAAAACTTAAAACAAAGTCTTTGGGATCTGGGGCTATGCAAAGAGTTACAATCTGCAAACTAAGAGAAAGATTTGCAAATCACAAATCTCCCAAGAATCTAGTATCTATCCTATGTCTAGAACATATAAAGAAATCTCAAAACTCAAAATTAAGAAAATAAACAATCCATTTAGAAAGGGGGCAAAAGACATGAACAGGCATTTTTCCAAATACTATAAAGTTGAAAAATAATTACTTGAAAATATGTTTAACACCATTAGCTGTTAGGGAAGTGCAAATTAAAACCACAAGAAGATATCCCTACACACCTATTAAAACGTCTAAAACAAAAAATTGTAACAACACCAGATGCTGGTGAGGATGCAGAGAAACTAGGATCATTCATACTTACTTGCATAAATGTAAAGTGGACAACCACTCTGGAAAATGGTATGGCAGTTTCTTTAAAAACTAAACGTGCAATTATCATAAAACCCAGCAATTGTACTCCTAGACATTTATTCCAGAAAAATGTAAACTTAGATTCACGTGAAAATCTGCACATTAGTAGTGTTCATAGCAACATTACTTATAATAGGAAAAAATTTGGAACCACCTAGATGTCCTTCAATGGAAGAATGACTAAACTATGGTACGTCCATACCGTAGTGGTCTACTCAACAATGAACAGGAAAATGCTCCGGATACATGCCACAACCTGGTAAATCTCTAGAGAATTATGCTGAGTGAAAATAAGTTGATTCCAGTTACATACTTTGTGATTTCATTTATATAATATTTTTGAAATGATCAAGTTGTAGAAATTGAGAAGATTATTAGTGGTTACTAGGGATTAAAGAGGGGGTGGAGTGAGTGGAAGAAAAGTGGGTATGAATATAAAAGTGCAACATGAAGAATCCTTGTGGCGACGGAAGTTTCTGTATTTCTACCACATCAATGTCAGTATCCCAGTTGTGATATTGTATTATAATTTTGCAAGATATTGCCTTTGGGAAAACCTGGAGAAATATGGATGAGATTCCTCGAAATTATTTCTTGCAACTCTGTATGAATCTACAATCGTCATAAAACAAGTAGGTGTGGAAAAAAGCCACCCCCCAAAAGATCTCAAATTCACTCCCAACTCCCCAAGCACAAGTACTTTTTATTTGGAATGTTTGAATTCGGTAAATTGAAGGGTTAAATATCCAACACATAGTTCCAGGAGAACATGTGTGCTCTAGACTGATAATTAACCATTTAATTGGTCTTCTCTCCTATCTACATTGTCCAATACTTCTAAATAGTAATTGAAATATAGAAAGTTTTCCCCACTTGGAACAGGCGATACATTCAGACATCATTCTGTTTTTATAATTTATGCACATTTTACATATAGCAAATGGAAAGAAACTCCGTCTTTCATGAATGTGTTATTGACATTAAATGTAAAAAAAAAAAAAAACCTCTAATTCAATTTGCCCACCAGTTGTAAGACATTGGGTACTCTATGTTCTTGCAAAAATAGAGCAGAAATCAAACTTTTTTATAGTTTGGCAATTTGGTGTCATTAGGGAATTATTAAATGATTTGGAGAGGTTCCCTCACATGTTTTACAAGTCATGGAGAGCTTTACCCTCCAATTTTATTTCTAATTTCTATTCCTGAGTGTCCCTTATTTCTCCCTTCTCCATCAGCTATGATCTCCTTCTCATGCTTTTACACATCTTACTTTCTGGTTACCTTCTTCATTGCTACACTCATTCTCAAAAAAATGTATAAGAGGAAAAACTTGTTGCATCCCACAGAACTAACTAAAAATGTTACTGAGGGTATTAAAGGCTATAGATCTAAGTCAAAAGTGTTAGTGTTTCCTAAGTAACTGTAACAGAATTTTTGCAGTGTCTGGGAACCAGAGATTTGCTTTCACCTTACAGTTTTTGTCAGTAGGCTAAAGACGCAGAATGAATTCAAAAGACACTTGAGAACAAATACTCTTATATAACCCCAAGACACATTTTAGTCTTTATTTTCAGACTGATGCCTTGAAAAATATCACTTCTGTTTTGAGTATATTTCTTAGGGCCAATTTTGCTAATTCATGTGTATTTATATTTGGGGGGTTATGGAGTGTGCATTTGAAACTCAAAATAGCATATCTCCTGGAAAAGAAGTGATGACTTCTTTCCAAAGAAAAGAAAATGGAGCCTGGCATTTTTTGCTTAAGGTCTATGACCCTAGACAGAAATTTATGTCAGTATCAAATGGCTGTAGTTCTCAAAGGCTTCCAAACTCCACCTTCCTTTTAGGAGAGACATTTTCAGTCTAAAATTAATTACTAAAATGTGAAACAAATCAAAAGACAAAACAAATCAGGCTGTTAAGACAAACATTAAAAATCAAATTATGCTCTCAAAATAGGCAATTTACAGCTTGGAAGGGTAATTGCCAAACCTGAAATGCATACAAACAGTTGAAATTACTGACTCAAGCTGTATATTACCTATTGGAGGGCATAATTTGACAATGACTCTTGCAAAAGGGTAGAGATTCTATCATTTTTCATGATTTAACAGCAAAATATGGTATAACACTCTGTCTAAGAGTCTGAAGGCGAATTAAATTGAAGAAAGAGCTTTAGCTGTAAGAGAAACGGGTGTTGAAGCTATATGTCAGGAAGAAGCATGGATTGGTTTTAAAGTTTTACAGTCCTGTGTTAAATGAACACTCTCTGCAGAGGCAACTACTGACCACAGTGTTTCAGGAAATCATTTAAATACTTTTAACTTGCTGGCTTTGGAAAGGAGGATAGGAAGTATTCAACTTGACAGTTGAGTGATCAAACGTGGTTTTTTTTGTTGTTGTTGTTTTCTATTATTATACTTTAAGTTCTAGGGTACATGTGCACAACCTGCAGGTTTGTTACATATGTATACATGTGCCATGTTGGTTTCCTGCACCCATTAACTCATCATTTACATTAGGTATTTCTCCTAATGCTATCCCTCCCCCGCCCCTAACCCCCTGACTGACCCCAGTGTGTGATGTTCTCCGCCCTGTGTCCAAGTGTTCTCATTGTTCAATTCCCACCTATGAGTGAGAACATGAGGTGTTTGGTGTTCTCTCTTTGTGATAATTTGCTCAGAATGATGGTTTCCACCTTCATCCATGTCCCTGCAAAGGACATGAACTCATCGTTTTTTATGGCTGCATAGGATTGTGAATAGTGCCGCAATAAACATACATGTGCATGTGTCTTTATAGTAGCATGATCATCTCAGACATAAAGTTCCCTGAACATTAACACATTTACTTACCAAATTTGATTTCAAATTCTAAAACAAAGAACTCATTATTTGCACTTGTGGAAATGTTCATATTGCCAGCATATTCTTTTGCACATTGGAAAAAAACAATCATTCACTTGAAATGGCAATATTTAGAATTTTGGTAGCAGTAATGTAGGGCAGGCGACAGTAGCCAAAGATGGCACAGAGGAAAATATTAAATGTCAGGAGAGGGACGAATCCCATGTGTCCCAGCTAGATTGTATTTTTTCCTGGGGCCATTCATCTATCCCCTCAGTCCTAGTTTATCACTATCTTCTAGCTGTTATGTTTCTTTCAACTGTATCATTTGGTACTCCCTTCTCAGGACAACCTCTCTGCCCTGCACTCAGATTTAGTCACATCTAGATTTTTTCAGTTTGGGCAATTAATATGCTTATGACCAATAAGGCTACAATTTCCATATATGCTTGACACAACCTATACCAGAACAGGGTTCTTTTATTTAACAGCTTTATTGAAGTATGGTTAACGTATAATAAATTACAGTACACAATTTGATAAGTTTTGACTAACGTTTTCACCTGTGAAACAATCACTACAATCAAGATAAGAAACATATCCATTACCTTCAGACATTCCCTAGTGTTCCTTTTAAGTCTTTCCTTTCCACCCACCCCCATTCTTTTTCCCTCTCCCCAGGGATCCACTGATATAACTTATGCTACTATAGATTATTTGCCTTTTCTATAGTTTTATGTAAATAGAACTATATAGTAGATGCTAAATGGAATCATATAGTAGATACTGAAGTTTCTCAGTTAGCATAATAATTTTAAGATTTATACATGTTGTGTGGATTAATTGTTCATTCCTTTTTATTATTAAGTATTAATAACATTTCATTGTATGAAAATACTAAAGTTTGTTCACTTGTTCACTTGTCAATAGATATTTGAATGGTTTCCAATTTTTGGCTCTTACAAATAAAACTCTTAATACTATGAACATTCACGTACTAGTCTTTCCATAAATATATGCTTTCTGTTGAGTTGGGAAAATATCTAGACTTGGATTATTTGGATAATATGGGGGTTATATTTTTCCTTTTTTTAGGAAACTGACAAACTGTTTTCCAAAGTAGTTTTACCATTTTACTTTCCTAGTAGCAATGTACGAAAGTTTTAGTTCTTCTGCACCTTCCCCAAGACATAATATGATCAGTCTTTATTTTAGCCACCCTCATTGGTGTGTAGCCGTATCTCATTATTGTTTTAATTTGCATTTTTCTGTTGATTAATCATGTGAACCTCTTTTTGTGTTCTTATTTGCCATTATTATATCTTTTTTAGTAAAGTGTCCATTTAAATCTTTTGCTTATTTTAATTGGGTTGTTTGCTTTTTCTTGTTGTGTTTAAGGGTTCTTTATGTACTTTGTATATATGTCTTTTATCAGATATATGCTTTGCAAATATCTTCTTTCAGTCTATGGCTTTTCATTTTCTTGAAGTTGCTTTGACAAGCAGAAGCTTTTAATTGCAATAAGATATAATATATCACTTTTAATTTTTAGAGGTCATTATTTTTGCATCATATTGAAAAAACTTTGCCTAATTCAGAGTCACAAAGATTTTTCGTTCAAGTTTTCTTCTCAAACTTTTATCATTTGCAGTTTTACATTTAGATCTATAATCCATTTTAGTTAATTTTTGTGTATGGTATGAGGCACAGTTTGAGGGCTTTTTATTTTTGCATATGGATGGCCAATTTTATCAACATTACTTCTGGAAAACACTATCCTTTCTCTCCTGAATTACCTTCATAACACTTCTTAACAACAACCCACAACCATAAAGCTATTCACTAAACAATGTTTGAATGATAGCATGAATAAATTCAGGAATCACATTACTCTACATATTTTAGTAAAGTGCAAAATATGTGTTTACAGGTCTCCTATGCAAGAATAAGATTACGTTAATCACCAAAGACTTTGATAAGTGTCCTTATAATCGGTACTTAGAAAATAGGATTTGTGAATAAGTAAATGAATAAATGAACAAACAAGTAGTTTACTAGAATGTGTAGATCACGTTTTTAGTTCTGTTGTTTAGGTCATTCATTCTTTTCTTTTATCTTCTTATAACTCTTGACTTCAAATAACACTTAGAGTTTATCAAGTTTTTCCACAGGGACTGAGAGTCCAGCTAGTTCACAGGATTTTACTGCTCTCCGCATAATTCAATTCCAGAAAGTTTAAGTCCCAGTTGCTAACAATGGCAAAATGTAAATCCGTGTCTATTTATTGATTTTTTTTCACCCTTCGTTGCTCACTTTCCCCATTCACTCACTTTTCCTGCCTGAATCAATCCCAAATAAAGTACCTGAATATAAGATCTGGTTTCCAAAAGTGCTATGGGGCAAACCCAAATGAAGGCATGGGTGAATTAGTGATATAATTCCTCTGAAAAGCTGCCAAACTCTGACCAAAGGGGATCCAAATATGGAGTTTTAATTTTTTGGTAAAAAGTTGAGCCCATAGAAACTTTTATGGATAAACTGAATAACCTAGTCTACTTCAATTTTTCAATATTAAATATAAGCAGAATTGAAGGTTGTTATGAAAACAATGATTATTAAATGTTTTATTTGTGTTGAACTTCTCTGTGAAGTTGTTCATAACACATTTTATACACCATACAATGGAAATTTGACTACCTAAAAACTTTAACATGTAGACAATAGCTTGAAACATACTCTTTGACCATCATATATGTTTAAATGCCTATAATATTAGTTCTAAATATTAAAATTCAAATCTTCATCATTCTTAAAATGGGTATTAAATAATCTAAAAAGCTTAGAACAAAATATTATTTGGTATAAAAAATGCTGTGTTATTTGCTTTATTTTCTTATCATTTCTGATTTATAGATAATATCTTGAATACATTTTATATGTATATATTTCACAAAAGCCAGGTCAAAAGAACATGAAAAGAATAGAATAAATGGTAATAGATAACTGATAGAGCACATTTAAATTACTTACGTGTGTAAAGTGCTGCTTTAATATGTAAAATCTATTGCACATCTTTTTAAAAAATTATGATTGATTTTGATGTCAATATTATAATTTCTATTTTGACTTCATTGGAAAGATGGGATTTGATTTCTTGTGCCCATCACTGTAATATAGAGATATCCCCAAACTGGAATTTCAACTTATCTTCACCCAGGTTCTTATGATTTAATTAGACTATTGATTTTTTTTTTTTTTTGGCTGTGAGTTTTGCTCATTATACATTATTCTCTGCTCGGTTAGATAATATTGTCAATGGTTTGTTCAGTCCTCAGTTTTTCCAATTATTTTTATGCACTTTGGGTTTAATCAATTAATTTTCCAAGCTGTAAATTATGCATTTTGAGATCATAATTTGTTTTTAATGTATGTCTTAACACCATGATTTGTTTCATGTTTGTAATTAATTTTGGGCTTTGAAAATAAAATTGCATGACAAATCATTATGGTAATGCCACTGCCGTAGACAGCAAAGCTGAAATTTCTCAGATAAGCAAATTTTCTTTTCATTTTGATTTGTTAAAAAAGTTTAAACAGTTAAAAATGAGTGATATTGAGTCATGGCATTCCAGGAAAATACCAAGCACATTTTCACATTAAAGCGGGACTACCAATATCTAAGTCATTGTAATACATGCTGTATCATTACCTATTACTGCATAACAAACCACTCTAAAACTTAGATCCTTAAAATAATAACAATGTATTACTTTTCACAAGTCTGTGGATCAGATGGACTTTTGTGTTGATCTGATCCAGGCCTGATTGATCTTGACTGGACCTGCCCATGCATTTATGTTTAGTTAGCAGGTCATCTAGGTGACTCTGTTTCTGGGAGTTGGCTGGTTGTTGGGTGGAGTGATAGTGCTACTGGACCACATTTCTCTTCACAACCAACAGGGTAGGCAGGGTTTGATTATATATGGTAGTTGTAGGGCTCCAAGGGCAAGAGTGGAATCACGGAAAACTCCTTGAAACCTAGGCTCAGAACTGGCAAATCCTTTTGACCACATTCTATTTGCCAAATCAAGTTACAAGATTCAATTCAAGAAATGGAGAAATAGAATTCTCTCGATGGGAGAAGTAGCAGAGACTCAAATTCAGGGAGAAGAGAATTGTGGCAATTTAAAAAATCTACTCTTTTCAAATAAATCTGATCTTTCAACTAATCTTTCAGTTTTCAAGCTTTTCACCATGATGAATATTATTTTCCTATCCTCCTCTCTCTATCTCATTCATAAAGTATATTTCCGAAAATATATATTTGGTGCATGCAGATGTATTATTATTACTCAATATTCCACAGGTCCTTATACTATTCAGCTGCTTATTTTTTCCTTGTAAAAATTATGGTGGTCAGAACAGTATAGAAAAAGAAAGTTTAAATAATTAAACTTTGTGTCCTGTTTGGTATTATAAATATATGTTACTATCTACTGTGGAAACCAAATCTGTTATAACATATAAATATATACTACTATCTACTGTGGAAATCAAAATCAAATTTGTCCCAGGTTGTCATATAAACCTGAAAGTCTAGTTTTAAATTTGTTCACTCTCTATTTAGGTTTCATTGATTCAAATCCTGACTCTCTCTGTTGGGCAAGTAGCTTATCTTTTTTGTGCCTGAATTTCCTCATCTGTAAATTAGAAATAATAATCGTACCTGCCTTATACTTTTGTTTTGAGGATTAAATGAGGTTAAATATGTAAAACACTTAAAACAGTCCCTAACATATAGAATTACTCAATACATAACAGATAATGTTTTGATTAACAACCAAATGTCCATAACTGGCTTTCAGTTGACCAGCTTTTATACTTTTTTTTTTTGGTCTCTGTTAGATCATGTAACTAATTTGGGGAGAAAATGTTTGGAATTCAGTAAACAGTACTGATTGGGAAAATTAAACTTGAAATGTTCAATTTATATTTCAAAATGGAAATAAAAAATTAAATAAAATTTGGTGCAACAGATATTTGACTATCTCTTGCTACGTTAGTCCTTCTGATAGATGCTGTGAGTATAAGGAAGAGTAAGACATGGTTCTAACAATAAAGTGCAAAGATTCCCTATAATCATCTTATCCCAGGCTACCATGTTGATGACAGTATTTTTTTAAGTGGCTCCTGGGCATATATCATGGTCAAATACAAACAACATTATTATTAATTATTTTTCTTCAATGGTTGCCAGTAGAGGAGAAAAATAACATTGTAAAATCTGGAATAAGTTGTGGTATGGGGGTTGGAGGTGAGCTATGTGTTAAACAAATTGCAAAAACCTTTTGAGTCCTCTGAGGAGTACCCTTTCAGATCTATGGAATACATCACAGTGAAGAGGAGGGATTTAGGGAGAGAAGAAAAACAGTTAAACAGTGGCAATTTTAAATGAATTGTCACCATTTAAAAAATCTGCTCTTTTCAAATAAGTCTGATCTCTCAACCAATCTTTCAGTTTTCAAACTTTCCACCATGATGAATATTATTTTCTCATCCTCTTCTCTCTGATTCATAAAGTGTATTTCTGAAAATAGGTATTTTGTACATGCAGATGTATGTATCATTATTGCTCAATATTTCAAAGGTCCCAATACTATTTAGCCACTTATTTTTCCCTTGTAAAAATTATGGTGCTCAGAACAGCATAGCACAAGAAGGACACAGTGAAAGAGAAAGGGAGTGAGAATAAGCACATACATTTGAGCTGTTGGGGAAGGGAGTAGAAGGAGTAATCATTGATAATGATGGTAAATTTCATCGTCTAGGATATGAATGAGAAAAATATGGTGTGCTGGCTTTTATATGTGTGTATGGAATATAGAAAAAGCCATAGAATATTTCCAAGAAAATCTAGGAGAGCAAAATTAAGGACTAATTAAAATGTGTTTTTCTAGACCAAGGAATAATTATTAAGAGCATTTTTTGAGATTTCTTCAACCTGTAAAACATTGACCCTCCCAGGTATTCATTTAATAATTGTTACTAACCATAACAACAATATGTATGTTATTAATGTAGTTAATTTATGAGACAATAAATTAAATTTCTATAGCAGCCCCTAGGTAACAAACCACATGCACATTATGTCATTTTGATACCAAGCCCAGGCTGTTTCCCAGTGGAGACTAGATTGAAAAGTCCTCAAAGAAAAAGCATCCATTTTCTTTCATATGGAGAAGTGGCCCTTTCCATCAAATCCAAGGACAAAATAAGCCCAAGAGGTAGAAACATAACACAAATATATATTATGTTTGATAATATTTAACCATTTCCCAAATATGTGAAGTCACTACATATATATATACATATATATATATATATATTTTTTTTTTTTTTTTGACAGAGTCTTGCTGTGTCACCAGGCTGGAGTGCAGTGGCACAATCTCGGCTCTCTGCAATCTCCGCCTCATGGGTTCAAGGGATTCCCCTGCCTTAGCCTCCCGAGTAGCTGGGACTACAGGCGTGCATCACCACGCCCGGCCAACTTTTCTGTATTTTAGTAGAGACAGGGTTTCACCATGTTGGCCAGGGTGATCTAGCTTTCCCGACCTCATGATCCGCCTGCTTGGCCTCCCAAAGTGCTGGGATTACAGGCGTGAACCACTGTGCATGGCCGATGTCACTATTTTTTAACAAACCCAATCACAGGCAGACAAAATATGAAATATTATACCCATTTCATTATGTGAAGAAATTGCAATGCATTTTTATTTCTATTTGTACTTTGTACTTACCCTATACTTTAAAAATAAAATCTAAGAAATAAAAATTGCATGAGAAAATAAACAATAATAAAATTTTTATTTAGTCATTTGCAAAATAATTGACTTTTTAGAGCTTTATTTAAATATCTTTGTTATTTTTAATGTAAAATTTTGATAGGTTATGTATTTGACTATTGGTAGCAGATTTGGGAACATTAGAAGGTGGTTTTTAATGAGATCGATATTATTATGTTAATACTCCCTAAGATTCCATTAGGAGAAGATTTAAAAATAGATAAGAAATACAAGGACGGGAGGAGAAGAATGGAGAGAAAAAGAGAGAGAGAGGGAGAGGATAGACATCTAATTCTAGCTCTTAGATGTACAATATATAGTTTTATTTTGATAAAATGCCATCTTTAGTACTCAATTTTTCCTTCAACAACAACCAAAGATAGTGTTCACTTTGCTATAATTCTCTCCACTTGCCTTATCTCTGTTATCTTTTTTCTACCACACATTTATGTTAGGCAGCTCAGACTAACTACAAAATAGAAATACATTTCTTAGCAGCTGTTACCATAATTCTAAAAATATACTTTTCTTTCTTACAGGATTTCAAACCTTCTGGGTTTCTTCCCAGCGCTAAATCCTGTCGACTGGATTCACTAGGATGAATAGAGAAAGAAGTGTTACATTTTAAGATAATTTCTTTTCTAAACACACAGAAAGGTAATAATTCTGGCATTTTACAAAGCATGTCAATTAGCTTTCTCAATGCTTTTTTTTTCAATTGTTTGCTCACCAGTTTTGTTTTAGTCTTTTGCTTTCTTGCATATTTAGTTTTTAATTATTGGGAGTCATGAACTCATTGGAAAGAGTACACTCAGAATTAGGGAGTTGGGTACATCTTTGCATGGGGCAAATATGAAAAACATGAACAGCAATGACACTTATGATTAGTGTGCTCTACAGTGAACTTCCTATCATGCTCCCAGGAAGGAGGCTTAGCCTCTCCTGGAGTTCAGTGTTATACTACCAAGTCTAGCACATTGCTTTGCTTTTCCAAAATAGCAAATGTCTTAGCACTTACCTAATGATGATCTAAGGAAAAGTACTAGGGAAATGGCATTATTCTGAAGACTTTGTTGACAGCTGCAAACCATAGGCTATGATAGCATTAGGGAAATGGCATTATTCTGAAGACTCTGTTGACAGCTGCAAACCATAGGCTATGACAGCATTGCGGGAAAGCAAGAGAAGACACACCTCTTCCCCCTTCTAACAGAAACCCCTCCCCCAACACACACACACACACACACACACACACACACACACACACACACACACACACACACACACACTCTGGCTATACCCATGGTATGTACCCTTATTTGAGTTCTGTTCATACTGGACATAAATAATTAGATTTTAGATAGTTGGCAGTTACACTCCTCTTCTCTAAAAAGATTTCTTTTTTCTTCTGCACTCCTCACCAGTTAATCTGAGCTCTTTTGTTCTGCTAAAGGAAGATAAGGAAAAAATATTTCTTAGTTCTATTTAATCACTGGCATGCCAGTATTGGAGCTACTGCTCCGTGGAGACTGCCAAAACCTCGACCTAGTTACTGCTCCTTTTTGTGGCATCTTACCATGCGGTTTGTGGCACTTTGGAACACAAATTCACAGTTACCAGAAGTTAGGTTTATCACTGTTGCAAAGCCACTGAGTTCTGATCCAGAATCTCACAAACTGGTACATGCCCACGCAGATCTAGCCTGTCCAGAAGATGAACAGGAGGAAAAACGCAATGCCAAGAAGGAAGCAACCGGGTCCTAATTAATCAGAAACAAATAAGTCATTTTAATAGTGATGTTGAAGGAGATAGAAATGTATTCTTATGAGAACCCTATGTTCCACCAGGATGACACTGTGAAATTATTCTACTGCCAGTTATTGTCACTAAGTTCTGGAATACTGGAAAACAAATGAGTCATTTGGAGTGTGTTCCTATTTTTTGTTTTTATATTTTAATGCACTTCAAGATGTAACACAGCTTCATGGTCTCCTTTTTTAAAAAAATTTTCCTTACACTTAATTCCAAAATGATCCTTGATTAGCAGATGGATAGATATGGAAACAACCACTTTATCTGTGGAAATCAGTTATAAAAAGTGATAAAATACACTCAACATCCCCAAAATTCAGAGTTTAAGATGAGGAAATCCTTACCATTGCCAAAAGGAAAAAAAGAAAAAAGAAAAAAGATTTGAGTGTTGCTAGGACCATTTCATTCAGTAAATGTTTATCAGGCATTTGCACTTTTCTACTTTTATTGCTCATTTGATTTCTGCTGCTTGAAATATTCTCCACTCACTGTCTTTCCCTGAAGACAAACCCAAATGTCACCTATGTTTGAAGCTTTCTTTAATTGCCTTTTTACCCTGAACCCATGAGCCCTTCATTCTCCCTTTACCAAAATTCTCTACCATTTATTATGTACAGGATTGTTTAACACATGTCTTAAAAACACATCCTGTGCTATCAGTTCGAAATCTCCACCTTTGAGAGTTAGGCTTGTCTTATTCATATTTGCATTGTTTGCAGTGCATTGAATCTAGTGGTGGCTCAAGAAAATATTATGTTCAATTTAAAAATAGGTGTTCTATTTCTAGTTTTGCAGCATCTTACTGAACACCAGCACACACTGAAAATAGATCACATATTTCCCTGGCAAACAATTTACGATTTGAATTTTCAATGAGTCCAGCGTTGATGGACTTGTGACAGGACATGTGATTATTTGGTGGATTCAGAATGAACCTATTAATAGCTTTTCAGATAATTCATCTAACGTGGCTGTAGGAGCTTCACAAAGTAATAAAGAAGTCGAGATTTCAGTTAAGAGAGTATCAGACAATATGACTCCTGATGGACTGGGCATACCAACTTCTAGGAAGCTTTAGCAGAGATTTCATTGCAAATGGTAGAGAGAGTTAGCCTCTCTCCTCTTTCCCTTCGCACTATGTCCTAGGATTGGTTGGTTTTTAAAATTCTTTGTCAGAGAACTCCTAACACTGAAACAAAATAGGTAACAATGTTAGAAAATTGCATGAGGGAAATCTAGAAATGCTGACCTTTCATTTGAGAGTAAAGCACCTGAATCAGCTTTCAGATTGTCGAAAAGAAAACACAGCTATTTCCAAAACAACTAAAAAAGTAAATTAAAAAAACTATATTTGGAGAAGAAAATAATAGAAATAATCTGGAATTAGAGAATTAAAAAGTATAGTATAAAAGAGCTTAAACTGAGCAAGTTTTATTTTTTCAAGATAAATGAATGATGGATCTTCTTTGGGATTTGATTGGTAGACATTTTTTGTGCGTTTCTGAAAATGGAGCTGTTCCATAAGACATGAATTGGTCTTCAATCTAATAACAATTTCTAACACTGAACAGAATCTAGGAATCACTTCTGTTTTGAAGTTTCTATAATATGTAAGAATTATGACAACAGTAATGCCAGGCTTACAAATAAATAGTTGTTAAATAATAAGATAAATATATTAAAATAAAAAGCATTTCAAAATAAGCTCTGTACTCTCTAAATATCCACACTGTATTATCACCTTATTATATTTATTTTTACATATTCATTTCTGCATTTATTTTTATAAATCAATGCTCCCATCTACATCTATATTTATCTATCTCTTTATATAGCATCCTCAAGACACAAGGCAGATGCCACGTTCCAGTATGTTTTATGGCACAAAAAGGTACTCAGTAAATGTTAAATTGAATAAGTAAATATTGAAAGATATTGAGCTTAGACAGGCATAAATATAGGATCACACTGAAGGTGAGCTATGTGAAAATGTATAAGTGAAATCTGAAGTGATGGTTTCAATTTTGCTAATAAATAATTTTACAGCAACAGTTTCTAAGGGATGTGAAAGGACAGTGCTTTACCTAGTATTATTTGCTGGCATGAGTGAAATACATTTTAAGAGAAAATTACATGGATGAAACTGTCAACTTTCTTTTTTTTGTATTTTATTATTATTATACTTTAATTTTAGAGTACATGTGCACAACTTGCAGGTTTGTTACATATGTATACATGTGCCATGTTGGTGTGCTGCACCCATTTAACTCATCATTTAGCATTAGGTATATCTCTTAATGCTATCCCTCCCCACTCCCCCCACCCCACAACAGTCCCCGGTGTGTGATGTTCCCCTTCCTGTGTCCATGTGTTCTCATTGTTCAATTCCCACCTATGAGTGAGAACATGCGGTGTTTGGTTTTTTTGTCCTTGCGATAGTTTGCTGAGAATGATGGTTTCCAGTTTCATCCATGTCCCTACAAAGGACATGAACTCATCATTTTTTATGGCTGCATAGTATTCCATGAAGCTATATGTATATGTATATGTGCCACATTTTCTTAATCCAGTCTATCGTTGTTGGACATTTAGGTTGGTTGCAAGTCCTTGCTATCATGAATAGTGCCGCTATAAACATATGTGTGCACGTGTCTTTATAGCAGCATGATTTATAATCCTTTGGTTATATACCCAGTAGTGGGATGGCTGGGTCAAATGATATTTCTAGTTCTAGATCCCTGAGGAATTGCCACACTGACTTCCACAATGGTTGAACTAGTTTACAGTCCCACCAACAGTGTAAAAGTGTCCCTATTTCTCCACATCCTCTCCAGCACCTGTTGTTTCCTGACTTTTTAATGATCGCCATTCTAACTGGTGTGAGATGGTATCTCATGGTGGTTTTGATTTGCATTTCTCTGATGGCCAGTGATGATGAGCATTTTTTCATGTGTTTTTTGGCTGCATAAATGTCTTCTTTTGAGAAGTGTCTGTTCATATCCTTCACCCACTTTTTGATGGGGTTGTTTGTTATTTTCTTGTACATTTGTCTGAGTTCATTGTAGATTCTGGATATTAGCCCTTTGTCAGATAAGTAGATTGCAAAAATTTTCTCCCATTCTGTAGGTTGCCTGTTCACTCTGATGGTAGTTTCTTTTGCTGTGCAGAAGCTCTTTAGTTTAATGAGATCCCATTTGTCAATTTTGGCTTTTGTTGCCATTGCTTTTTGTGTTTTAGACATGAAGTCCTTGCCCATGCCTATGTCCTGAATGGTATTGCCTAGGTTTTCTTCCAGGGTTTTTATGGTTTTAGGTCTAACATTTAAGTTTTTAATCCATCTTGAATTAATTTTAGTATAAGGTGTAAGGAAGGGATCCAGTTTCAGCTTTCTACATATGGCTAGCCAGTTTTCCCAGCACCATTTATTAAATAGGGAATCCTTTCCCCATTGCTTGTTTTTGTCACTTTTGTCAAAGATCAGATGGTTGTAGATATGTGGCATTATTTCTGAGGGCTCTGTTCTGTTCCATTGGTCTATATCTCTGTTTTGGTACCAGTACCATGCTGTTTTGGTTACTGTAGCCTTGTAGTATAGTTTGAAGTCAGGTAACGTGATGCCTCCAGTTTTGTTCTTTTGGCTTAGGATTGACTTGGCAACGTGGGCTCTTTTTTGGTTCCATAGGAACTTTAAAGTAGTATTTTCCAATTCTGTGAATAAAGTCATTGGTAGCTTGATGGGGATGGCATTGAATCTGTAAATTACCTTGGGCAGTATGGCCATTTTCACGATATTGATTCTTCCTACCCATGAGCATGGAATGTTCTTCCATTTGTTTGTATCCTCTTTTATTTCATTGAGCAATGGTTTGTAGTTCTCCTTGAAGAGGTCCTTCACATCCCTCGTAAGCTGGATTCCTAGGTATTTTATTCTCTTTGAAGCAATTGTGAATGGGAGTTCACTCATGATTTGGCTCTCTGTTTGTCTGTTATTGGTGTATAAGAATGCTTGTGATTTTTGTACATCGATTTTGTATCCTGAGACTTTGCTGAAGTTGCTTATCAGCTTGAGGAGATTTTGGGCTGATACAATGGGGTTTTCTACATATACAATCATGTCATCTGCAAACAGGGACAATTTGACTTCCTCTTTTCCTAATTGAATACCCTTTATTTCCTTCTCCTGCCTGATTGCCCTGGCCAGAACTTCCAACACTATGTTGAATAGGAGTGGTGAGAGAGGGCATCCCTGTCTTGTGCCCGTTTTCAAAGGGAATGCTTCCAGTTTTTCCCATTCAGTAACTGGCAAACTGGATAAAGACTCAAGACCCATCAGTGTGCTGTATTCAGGAAACCCATCTCACATTCAGAGACACACATAGGCTCAAAATAAGGGGATGGAGGAAGATCTACCAAGCAAATGGAAAACAAAAAAAGGCAACGGTTGCAATCCTAGTCTCTGATAAAACAGACTGTAAACCAACAAAGATCAAAAGAGACAAAGAAGGCCATTACATAATGGTAAAGGGATCAATTCAACAAGAAGAGCTAACTATCCCAAATATATATGCACCCAATACAGGAGCATCCAGATTCATAAAGCAAGTCCTTAGTGACCTACAAGGAGACTTAGACTCCCACATAATAATAATGGGAGACTTTAACACCCCACTGTCAACATTAGACAGATCAACGAGACAGAAAGTTAACAAGGATGTACAGGAGTTGAACTCAGCTCTGCACCAAGTGGACCTAATAGACATCTACAGAACTCTCCACCCCAAATCAACAGAATATACATTCTTTTCAGCACCACACCACACCTATTCCAAAACTGACCACATAGTTGGAAGTAAAGCACTCCTCAGCAAATGTAAAAGAACAGAAATTATAACAAACTGTCTCTCAGACCACAGTGCAATCAAACTAGAACTCAGGATTAAGAAACTCACTCAAAATCACTCAACTATATGGAAACTGAACAACGTGCTCCTGAATGACTACTGGGTAAATAATGAAATGAAGGCAGAAATAAAGATGTTGTTTCAAACCAATGAGAACAAAGACACAACATACGAGAATCTCCGGGACACATTCAAAGCAGTGTGTAGAGGGAAATTTGTAGCACTAAATGCCCATAAGAGAAAGCAGGAAAGATCTAAAATTGACAACCTAACATCACAAGTAAAAGAACTAGAAAAGCAAGAGCAAACACATTCAAAAGCTAGCAGAAGGCAAGAAATAACTAGGATCAGAGTAGAACTGAAGGAGATAGAGACACAAAAAACCCTTCAAAAAATTAATGAATCCAGGAGCTGTTTTTTTTTTTTTAAAAAGATCAACAAAACTGATGGACCACTAGCAAGACTAATAAAGAAGAAAAGAGAGAAGAATCAAATAGACACAATAAAAAATGATAAAGGCGATATCACCACCGATTCCACAGAAATACAAACTACCATCAGAGAATACTATAAACACCTCTACGCAAATAAACTAGAAAATCTAGAAGAAATGGATAAATTCCTCGACACATACATCCTCCCAAGACTAAACCAGGAAGAAGTTGAATCTCTGAATAGACCAATAACAGGCTCTGAAATTGAGGCAAGAATCAGTAACTTACCAACCAGAAAAAGTCCAGGACCAGATGGATTCACAGCCAAATTCTACCAGAGGTACAAACAGGAGCTGGTACCATTCCTTCTGAAACCATTGCAATCAATAGAAAAAGAGACAATCCTCCTTAACTCATTTTATGAGGCCAGCATCATCCTGATACCAAAGCCTGGCAGAGACACAACCAAAAAAGAGAATTTTAGACCAATATCCTTGATGAACATTGATGCAAATATCCTCAATAAAATACTGGCAAACCGAATCCAGCAGCACATCAGAAAGCTTATCCACCATGATCAAGTGGGCTTCATCCCTGGGATGCAAGGCTGGTTCAACATACGCAAATCAATAGATGTAATCCAACATATAAACAGAACCAAAGACAAAAACCACATGATTATCTCAATAGATGCAGAAAAGACCTTCGACAAAATTCAACAACGCTTCATACTAAAAACTTTCAATAAATTAGGTATTGATGGGAGGTATCTCAAAATAATAAGAGCTATATATGACAAACCCAAGCCAATATCATACTGAAACTGTCAACTTTCTATGACTGTTTCCCTGGTTTCTAAGTTAATCATTAAATTATTTTAGGCCAAACACAAAAGTGATTAAGTGCACTAATGCCCTATCTCTACTTTGTATCCTGAGCAGACTTCTTCAGCTGTCTGGGACATACATACCTTTTGCTCTATTGTACTGATGTATTTTCCTTACATTCATTCAAAAGGAACCTTCTGACCTCACTCCAACTAGGAGACATCTGTTACTGCAGTCATAAGCTGAGGACTACAATTTAATAACCAATAGCTGACAAAGAAAAAAATATTTTAAAAACTCTCCAAAAGGATGGTTTAATTAACAAAAAGAAGACCCCTAAAATGACAAAATAAACCCCAGAATAGCTTTCAGTTAAAGAATAAAATAAACACTTGTCAGTCACCACATTTAAGCTTGAATTAGGCTTTTGAAGGTACCTGTAAAAACCTTATACTTCCCTCTCGCTCTTGCCTTAGAATGACCATCCTATTATATTTTCAAATCCAGGTTCACAGCAACATATAGATGACATTATATTAAGATAAAAGTCTGTATATTTCTTATGATAGCTTACTATTTAAATGGCATGTCTGGTTTAGGATGTCAACAGGACATGTAATAATTGGCAGTAAAGGCACAAGGGTAAATTTGTACAAGAATTTTGTGCTAAGTTTTATGCAACTGGTTCCCAGAAGCTACGGGAAAATAAGGAATTCTGAAAGTGATTTAATAAAGAATAATGAATATTTTAAATACATACAAAACCTTTAATGTGCCTAAAATTGGGCCTTAAGGGGTGATAGGGCTTGTAGTATTTTGATTTTGTCTTGCTTCTCTGTAACAATACATTCCGGATATCCTTCATGGTTATAGAACAGATCATTCAGATGTATGTGAATGGTATTGAACATATAATTTGGGTAGATTATTGTAAAACACCAGTTTCACTGGAGTCACATGATGAAAAAAATCCAGATTTTGAATTAAAGAATGCTGGAATTGTGTATGTATTGGTGATTGGGTGAAGAGAAGTCCTATCTAAGGGACTACTACTGTGGGTTCAGAAATAGGTTTCATAGACTGACTTTCATGAAATATAAAGCTATACTAGAATCATCTACAGAAAAAGGACTAGGCATACCTGAATAAAAAGTGTCTCAGATATTTCTGATTAGAGAGGGATGTTAATCTTTAGCCACAGACCGCTCACCTTCAATGGAAACTAAAATTAGGAACACTTTATTATGTCAACTTCCCTGGATCTGACATTTACAACCTTGTCTTTGAAAAGTTGCTAATCATGATTTAATTGAGATATTCCTTCTTCTCATTTTTCTGTATCTTGTGTGTGCGTGTGTGTGTGTGTGTGAACACTGGTAAGTAAAAAAATGAGACTATATAAATACACATCTAAATATGAAATATCAGGACCTGTTTTAGGAGATTTAGAACCAAAGCATAAAGACATTCAGAATGCAAAATTAGAGTAGTATAGTTGGAGTGTAGGGAGGATAACAGAGCCTGGAGAGGGGAGAAGGCAGAAAGAAAACAGTGTAAGAAAACATTTAGGTGGAGGATGGTAAAAACAAGCACTGATGATTATGTTTTTTTTTTTTTTCATCTGTGTCGTGACTATTCTGCTCTGTTCCACCTTTGATGTCTTATAAGGAAGAACAATCAAGATAAAGTTGTTCCCATCATGTGTGGTTTGAAGCTATTATGCTAATTGTTGGGAAAGTCTTATTCCGCACAAGAAATGCCTGAGATATGTCTTGCAGGCTATGGTGTAAATCGCCATGAGAATTGGTTCAAAAGCATCAAAAACCAACATTTTTAAGCTCTTGTATTTTTCTCCACTCCTATACTTTCCAACGGCGTATATTTAGAAGTTGGCATGTTGGGTTTTGAGTAGCTGTGATCTTGTAAATATTCTTTCCTCGGCCCTGCTAAGAAAAGCCATGTCTGATAATGCTCTATAGATGATAGGGAATCTGGATGGTACCGTTCATTCTACTTGACCCTCTGTTCCTTGACTGACTGAATGTGTGTGTGTGTGTATTCTCCAGAGCCTGCAATTTCTCATCTTCTCTGATGATATTTCTATAAAACCAATAAACAACCACTTCTACTTTCATAATTTTGAAGTCCATCCAGTAGACAAATCACCATTCTTTCTCTTCTATTTGGCCTTTAGTGAGGCAGTCATGTACTTGGACCAACCAAGAAGTAAGTGACTAGGATCATTTTCAGGACCTGGTTAGATCTACAGAAACAAAAGCAAAATGTGTTGAAATTCCCAGTGTGAAAACAGTGCCTTTAAATAGAGAGCCTGCTATCAATCTCAAAGGAATACCATTATTTCCGTTGTCTCTATCTGGGCTATTGCAGCATTTCTACCAACCCATTTACTCTTGAGAAGAGTCCTCTGGTGATTTCCATCTCACAGGCTGCCTTAGGATTTTCCTTATTAGTTAATCTTGCATTAAATATTGTAGCATAATAGTTTCCTTGAGACAGCCACTTTGGACTAGGATAAGTTTTTAAGATTTCATTTCAATCATAAGACTAAGTATCTATCTGGCAAAAAATACACTGTATCAAAAACGAATAAATAAAATAAGCCCACCATTTAAAAACCACTAATAAGAAATGTTCAAAGTATGTCCAATGTGATGAAATACTAAATGTTTTAAGGATATTAAATAGTGATTCTATATATCTTATTAAAAGTACACCTATCAATTGCTAAAAAGATAAAGATATGATTCAACACTAGTTTCTACCAATGTATTTCCCTTACTCTACATCATCAAAACAGTAAGCTATTTGCTGGGGAATGGAAGTAATATCTTATGTAGAACTGGAAGCTATAATGATTATTGAAAAATAAGACTATAATTGATATTCAAAATGTTTTAGAAATTCTAGAATTCTAGAAATTCAAGATTCCTAGATAGGCACAAAATAACTTTGATAGTAGCATAAATAATTTATATTATATTGATAAAATACTCTTTATTTTCCAAAAAAAAATCCCCACAATAACAAAGGACACTATGTCCATAGTCCAAGTGCAAAAGAAAGTGCATATATTTTCTACCTAAAATATTTGGATTTCATTGCGCTCTATGCTACTCTAGTCATTGTATTTTGTATAACCCCTTATCAAAAGCAACATTTTTTTGTGGCCCCACTGTAAGGTAAGCCCCTTACTCTCAAGTTTTTTACAACCTATTTGGATAGGAACCATTTTCATTTATCTGTGATAGAGGCTGACTGAACATCTATACTGTGCAGTACACGGCGAGGAAGGAAAGCATATTGTCCCCAATTTTCAACAGCTCATTTACTCTACATTTTTTCAAGTAGTTTTCCATTTCATTCTTAATTTGTCTTGTAATTCCTATGACATAATGAAGGTAAGTATCCTAAGAGAAAAATGGAAGCCTGGAACATATAAGAGAAAAAAGTTTACAACTAATTAGCAGAAAATAAAATATTAAAGACTAAAAGGAGGTCTTCTCACTGGACCAGAAGTCTGTTCTCTGTTTTATCTTGTATCTTGTCAATGACAAAATTTCTCTGGGTAGGGAAAAAAGTCTGAAAAAAAAAAATTTAACCATACACATATATAAAAATGTATAAAAAATCCTAAGCATATGGAATGCTAAGGAGCAAGCAGTTAGAAGAAGTTGTGTCTATAATTTTAGTAGGCAATTGGTCTGTGGGATTATGTCAAAATTACTTTTAGGGAGAACAATTAAGTGTGTTCCACTTTCATGGTAGAGTCATAAAAGAGATCTAAAAGTATTAATTTGCCAAAATTATATGACGAAATGCAGTGATTAGTTTAACCAAGGTAATTATTTTCCAATTTTTCAGAATGGTTTTCCCTTGGGGTGCTGTAACAAATATACCATAGATTAGGTGGATTATACAACAGACATTTATTTCTCATAGTTCTGGAGTCTGTGAAGTCCAAGATCAAGGTACCAGCAAATTTGACGTCTGGTGAGGAGCTTCCTACTTGTTTGCAGATGGCCACCTTCTTGATGCATGCTCACATGTTTGAGAGAGAGATCGTATCTCTCATGTTTCTTGTTATAAAGGCACTAATCCCATTGATGAGGGCTCCATCTTCATGACCAAATTATTTTCCAAAGGCCTGACCCTCAAATACCCTTACAATAGGGATTAGGGTCTCAACATATGAATTTGGGGTTGGGGAACACAAATATTCAGTCCATAGCAAGAATTGTTTAGTAGACCCAGGGATAGAGTTTTCCTGAATTATCCAGTAGGCATAACAAGCATATGCTACATGCATCAATAAAACAGAGACACCAACAAAATTTTTTTAAGAATTTAACATTTAATTTAAAAAAAAGAACTTAGTACTTTACGGAAGAGAAACCAAATGTTGTAAAGCTTCTTTACACTCATTTCATCATTTAGTATTTTTTTTTTGTGGTTAACTATTTTGTTGTGGGTAGGGCTCTCTTGTCTTTTCTATCCTTATGACTTTTCTAAAGATCTTAATAACAGAGAGCTGGCAAACAGTGTGGATCCATAATGTTTATGGAAGGCATCAGGCACAAGAAAGAGTCCAAGAATGCTCAGGCATGTGCAAAACTGGAGAAGTAACACAGAAGCAAGGAGAGATCATGCTGAATAGGCATTGACAAAAATGGTTATATGTGAAAGGACCTCGACAAGACCAGTCTCTTATTTTAGTTCCAACTTTATGAGTTACTAGCTCTGCGACCTTAGGAAGCTACTTAATGTCAGATTCCTCATTGGTAAAATAGGGAAACAACACAAAGGGCTATATTAAGAATTAAATAAAAAGATGCATATAAATAAATAAATTCTTACACATAGTAAGTGCTCAGGGCCACTTCCCTGCTAAATTTATTATTACTAAGGCCTTCCAAATTCTATCCTCGTGCCCCTCCATGTCCATGAAGGATGGAGTATGTGTGATCTGAAAGGTTATTAATATTTAAAATAAAAACCCTGCCGAGTTGGAGCAAAACATCACAAATAAATTACCTTCTATCAGCAGTAGTTTTTTTAATTGGAATTATATTACCTTATCATTTGCTCATTTATATGTAAATGCTTACTTGTGTTCATATCCTGCCACTATTTTCACATATGCAGCTCTTGTTTATTCATGGAAGGGGGGATGTAAAACATTAGTAAAGAATATGAAATTCAGAAACGATGGCCAATCTTCATTTAAAACTATTTTTGCTAATAGTTTTAATTTCCTTTCCTCAAGTATATTTTTTGAAGGATCAAGCTATGACTAAGAAAGAAATGGTCTCTGCCCTTGCTGAGTTTATGTTGGAGCTAAATACTAATTCATGCATCGTAACATTACCTCAGTCATAGTGTGTAGGTTTCCAAAAGATAGTATAGAAAAAAGACCTACCAGAAAAAATGTACTTTGGGTTTCAGTTTTCTAATTATTTTTGCAACTCATATTTCCAAAATGTAGAAAAGTTAACACACTTTCAAAGATTCCCCTCTTTTATTTTTCTCCAGGAATCTTTTCTGGCAGTTACAAGTTCAGAATGCTTTTGTGCATTCCAAGCAGTCTTGCCCAGATTCTGCCACCTGTTCCATCATTCTGGGTATATTTAGGGTATAGTTCTTTTCCATATGGGCAGTGTAATTCCATTAAGTAGCAATCCAGCACAATTTCTTTTTTTTTTTTTTACGTTAAACCTCGAGAGTTAATCGTCCATCTGTGTGTAATCATCGATTCCATTAAGCCTTATGGCCTTGTCAGATTATCAAACATTTTAAACAGTACTCCTTTCTTCGCAGGAAACACATTTGATAATTAAGGGCATGATGGAATCTAAGTTTTTGAGTCTGACTCCAAGGTCCCACAGTGGCTTATGTTAATCCTGAGTCAAACTTCGCCTCCTCTAGATCACTGAGCTTTGACTACAACAGGACGTATCGTCGATCTCGTTTAGTCAGATTTCCAAACAAGCAAGATATGATGTTTAGATGTCAAAGACAAATCAAATGTTTCACTGGTTTTGTTTTCACCTGCAAGGCGTACTTTCAAATTTCTGTTCGCGATGACTGAGTGAGTCATGAATCACATGAGTATTGAAGAGAGCAGTCCTCGGCTATAGACTGTGTGTGACACAGACTTCTTGCTTGTTTTTATAGGTTTCTGTTGTCTCTTATTGCAGAAGAGAC